>NC_000003.12:127190422-127341937 GCF_000001405.40 Homo sapiens
TAAAGTTATGCCTTTTTGAAACCTTTTATTTAAAGTAATTTTAGATTTACAGAAAAGTTGTAAAAAAAAAACAGAGAATTTATGTATACTCTTCATCCAGCTTTCTCTAATTTTACTATCTTACATAACCATAGTACAGTTATCAGAATAATGAAAATATTCTTATTTTTCTTTTAGAAGCTTTATTATTTTGTCTTGTATTATTTTAAAAGTAAAATCAAGTCTATGACCCACATCAAATTAATTTTGCCTATGATGTGATACATGAGGGGATGAGATCTATTTATTTTTGATATGGATATTCATGTGCTCCAGCAACATTCATTGAGAAGCACTTCATTTAGCTACTGAATCATTGGCCCCTTTGTTGAAAAT
The DNA here is from genome assembly GCF_000001405.40 of Homo sapiens. Classification (NCBI taxonomy): domain Eukaryota; kingdom Metazoa; phylum Chordata; class Mammalia; order Primates; family Hominidae; genus Homo; species Homo sapiens. Next base: position 127,190,798 of record NC_000003.12, read on the forward strand.
TATGTGTGGGTCTGTTCATGGACTCTTTATTTTGTTTCATTAATCTATTTGGCTATTGCTAACTTATTTGTTGTAGCTTTACAGTAGATCTTAAAATCTGGAAGTGTAAGTCCTCCACTTTATTCTTCTACAAGATTTCTTGGGTATTTCTGGCTTAATCCCATTATAAGTGTCAGAAACAGATTTTCTTTGGTGAAACCAGTGAATCATTAATCAACTTCATGAATGTTAGAGGTGATTAAAACTGAAGAAATAAATTAATCTTCAAATTGAAAGGTCATACCAAGTGTGTAGCAGAACAAACCACCACATAATAAAAACAAATCATAATTACATTCCAAGGACATGTCAAAATATGAAAGGATGAAGAAAAATTTATATTAGTTGCATGGGAAAAGAAACTATTTATAAAGAAAGATTCTGATAAAAATTACAGTTCTCAGCAACAAAAGAGGGGCAATAGGTTAATTACACATTATTTTCAAAGTGCTAAGATCAAGTAACTCTGAACCTAGAATTCTATACCCAGCCAAATTGTCAATCAAAATTGAGAATGAACTATGTTTTTGCATATAAAAACTTTCCAAATTTTCCTATGTACAGATCTTCATAGAGTGACTAACAATACAAATTATAGAATTATATGAATTATATATTATAGAAATATAGAATCAAAATTTTAAAGGAAATTAAGAAAGAAATTGTGTAAGTCAAAATGCAACAGTGAACACAGTCATTAGTGAAAGCTGTTAGTAAGTCTAAATAAGTATGGGTTAAAAAATGATATAACAAGATCAAGGTAATATTCCCAACATTAATATAGGATGTTAATATAGGGGAAATATGAAAGGATAATTTTTAAATTGTGCTAAGAATATTGTATTCATGTAGGGAGAATATAGCTATTGATTTGCTAATTTAAGGAAAACAAATATGAATGAAGTAAAGTTATTTATTGAAAGATAAGTACTGACCAGGCCCCTTGGTTCATGTCTGCAATCCCAGCACTTTGGGAGGCCGAGGTGGGAGGATTGCTTGCACCCAGGAGTTTGAGGCTGCAGTGAACTATGATTGTTCCACTGCACTCCAGCTGGGGCAACAGAGGGAAACCCTGTCTCAAACAAACAAATTTAAAAAAAGATGAATACTGACAGTAATGCGAACAACTCAACAAAAACCATGTATGGTAAGGGTGGTCTCAGACAAAATATGATTCAAGGCAAGAACCATTCTGAAGAACCAAGGAAAGTGTATTGGGCAAGGTTCCCGTGTGGAACATTCAAGTGGTTAATTGAAGAACACTGAATGTTAATGCATGGACTATTTTCAGAGGCCTGGGAAAAGGTAAGGAAAGCAAGAAGGAATGTCAAAGTCTGTGGACAATAAGGGGTCATGACCATTCTGGGCTGAACGGCAGGGAAGGCGCAATGTCATCAGCACCCAGAGGCAGCTGGGGCTCTCAGAGAGAAGTGACTGCTGCTGGTCATCTGAGACAATCAGTTGTGTTGTATACATTTTATAATGTCTACTTTGGGGCTTCTTGTGACCTTCTGGATAAGCAACTGGATTTTCTGGGTCCTGTTGATTGCATTAACGTGGGTATCCCCAGGTGGTGTGAGGATGAAATGAGCAAATGCGTGAGAGGTGCTCAGAACAGAACCTAGCACAGAGGAAGCTCCCCTTAAACGTTAGGGTATAGGGGTACTGGGAGCTGCATACCCGAATGACCGCACTCAAAGGAGCATGCACATTCAGAACATTTGACTTCTCTTCCTGTGGGATGGCCCAGTTGTTTAAGCTTCGGACCCAGCAAACGCAGGATCTGCCCCAGCTGAGCACACTGCTCTGCTTCTGATGAAAACTCTGCAATGGCTCGCGTTGCTCCCGGGACAGAGACCAACCTCTTTTGCCCCATCCACAAGGCCTTGGAAGGCGGAAGGCCTCCCCTCTGGCCCTGTGGGCCTCCTGTCTCCTCCCTCGTCAGCTCCACTCCCCCAGCACTGCTGGGGCCCATCCAGCGTGCAGACTCCACCGAAAGCTACCGCCTGCAGGACTCCTCCCCAATGCCTCCCATCCGAGAGGGGAACGTCTTCATACCCTGGTAACACCTCTGCGCTGTTGGCGTAGCCCTCAATACAATTGAGTTCCACCTCATTTCTGGGATAAGCAGCTGACCCAATCAACCCCACCGGCGTCTACACCTCGGAAACTGATTGAGTCCTGGGACCTCTTCCGACCACCGCCAGGAGCCCAGGCCCCGCCCCGCGGCTGCGCGCATTCCCGTAAAAGCCCGGTGGACTGCGCTCCTGGGCCGCTTGGAATCTGAGGCCTCCAGTGGTCTCCTGCCGCCACCTGGACCGGGGACAGTAACGCCTAGGGAGCCCCAAGACCTCTTGAGAGAGCATTTCAGCTCTGTTGACAAACCTCAACCACTTGAGGGACTTCGCTGGAAAGAAACGTTCTAGAAAGACCAAGTGGGTAAGTAGCGAGAAAGAACAAAGTTAGCCTTATGGGATGGCTGAGGGGGTGGGGCGAGGGCCTGAGGACCTTCTCTGACACCATCCTCTCCGCACTCTCCCACCCAACTCCTGGCATCTCCCCTCTCCTCCTTCCCGCCCCTTCCCTGCTTCTCTTGCAGTTCAGCAGGCCTGAAAGTGTCCGCGTCGCACCCCACCCTATGAGACAGCTCTCTCCAGCCTGTTCCCTCAGCCCCAGCCCCTCCCCTAAAAGCCAAGCCCAGGACCCTCCTGCCTGCCCCCTCGCAGAATCATCCCTCCACCCGCTGCAGCTGCGAGGTGTGGGTAGAGGCCCAGATTAATGTGTTCTCTGTTCTGCCCAGCTCCCAGGCCCGCCCTAGGGGACCCAGATGAAGGCAGTCTGGCTGCTTCGGACAAGGAAATCGGGTTTTGAATTTGATAGCTGTTTACTCTTTACTTACTAAAGAGTAAACAACAAACCCAGCATGTTTTTCTCCATATCCTTTGAAAAGCCAGTATAGGGCTTTATTCTTTATCAAATTAATTGTAAAAATCAAAGTTCCATTTTTGTAATTTGATTTTTTTAAAAACATGGTGAAGTGGAACATTTTTACATGATTTTGTATAGCTTATTCTGTGGCTTGCTTGTGGTTGCCCTTGGGCGAGATTGTTGATAAGGTCTTATTTACCTGCCGTGGACTAGCAAGAGCTGTCTGTATCTGACATATGATTAGCTCTGGTCTGCCACATGTTGGAGATATCGCCCTCTATTTTGTGGTTTGTCTTTTGATTTTGAACATGATAATTTTGTGGCATTTTTTTTAACCAGATATTCAATTTTTAAATAGCCAGTTTTATCTGCCTGTATTTTCTTGTCTTGGTATCATGCACAAAGGGCCTTCTCCACCATATTAAGTTTTTGAGAAGCCAACTAGGCATTTGTGCATGTTAACTCTTGCAGGGGTGTCCAATCTTTTGGCTTCCCTGGGCCACACTGGAAGAAGAATTGTCTTGGGCCACACATAAAATACACTGACACTAAAGATAGCTGAAGAACTAAAAAAAAAAATCATTAAAAAATCCCGTAATGTTTTAAGTTTACGAATTTGTGTTGGGCCATATTCAAAGCCGTCCTGTGCCACAGGTTGGACTAGCTTGCTTTAGAGGATGATCTGAACTTGCAAGGATACGCGTATCACAGGCCAGAAGTACATACGATGTAGTGTGTTTTTCCAGAACTGATTTTCCATCTAGAGGCTACCTTTGGGCAGTTGAGGAAGAGGGATTTCCTCCTCAGTATGGGTAACCTTGGGCACTTGAGACTTTCTCAGTGCATTTCGGTTTCCTCCTGCCCCCTTTTCCAGGAGTTGGCTCCTGCAGTCTGGGGCCAGGGTGTCTTTGCCTCAAATTTCTGGGTGGGCCATTTGGTCAGTGGTCCACATCTATCCTACGGGCATCTCAGCTGGGCCTCCTCCTACTGGTCCTCAGCTTCTGTCCCTGCAGGCATCTATGAAACACTAAGCTCCTTTCTTGTCACTGGCTGTCATTGTGTGTCCTTCAGGTCCCTCAAGAAGATCCTCCCTGGGGCTACTGGCCTGTCCTCCACCCCAGGTCCTCTGCCCATTCGGGAGGAAATGAATGCTTCTTCAGCCACACAGGGCCCTCTGCCCTGACCTTGCCCACGTTTCCATCTCAGAGCATCAGGCCACACCTGAGCACCTCCCATGGTCCAGGACCCCAGCCAGGAGAAAGAGCGCTGGTGCTCTCTTCCCTTAAACCTGTCCTCCCGCGCTGTGGCAGAGAGGAGGGGGAGCACCACTGTCAGATCTCCAGTTTCCGCTGTAACTGTGTTTTGCCTGGGTGGAGGAGAGAAGAGATACACCAGACCCACTCAGCCCACACACACCTAACTATCCGGGAGTGGGTCCTTGGCACACACCAGTTGCTCAAGACAGAAACTTGAACATCTGCCTGGCACCTTCCTCTCCTTCTCCTTACATCCATTTCTCTTCCTTTCCCGGGCCGGTTTCTTCCATCTGTGGTCCACCCTCTGATCTAGAGAGGCTCCTGAAACACAAAGCTGGTAGAGCAGCTTCTCAAAGGCTCCCTGCCATGCTCGCCCTGAGAGTTCTGGCAGGCACTCCGGGGCACCTTCGTGATCTGACTTCTTGTCTCTGCCCCCAGGAAGTCCCTCCCTGCCCTCACTTGTACCCTAAAAGGTTTCCCAGTGTCCTCATCTGCTCAGCTCCTGACTCCAATGGGCAGCCTCCCTCTAGGCTCTGCCAAAAGGACTCTGGAGGCACCTGGCTGGTTTCTTTCTCATATAGCGTCCTCTTGTTCACCTGACTGGAGGTTGTGGGGTGTTTCCAGTCAGCTGTGCCTCAGTTTCTTCCATTCCATGCTGCCCCTGACCCCAGCCCTCAGGACCCCAGGGGTCCTGACCGCACCAGCCTCCGCTCCTTGATGCTGGGGCTGGGGGTGTCCTCTCCTGGCCACAGGACCTCTCCACCGTCTCTCTGTGCCTCATCCTTGTCACCTAAGACAGTCAAAGCATGTACTGCGCATCAGTTCTTATTTCAGAAACAGCTCCAAATTTCAAGGAGATTCCTCTGGGGGACCTTCGTTTTGGGGAAAAACACCTGGGGCTACCTGATGTGCCCTCTCCTGGATACTGGGCCTTTGATCATCTCTTCACTTCTTTCTCTTCCTTTCCATCATGTCCTCACTGTGTCAGGTGTGGGTGCTGAATATGCTGTTCACAACATTCCAGAACACTCCAGGAGAAACCTGACAGGCCTTGTGTTCAGACACTGCATCCTTTGGAGGAAATGTTTTGGGAGGTCCTGCTTTGTGGGGCAAGCATCTGTCAAGGATGAAGTGCTCCGGGACCTGTCTGCCCCTTCAGCAGCCCCTGCACTGGGGTGGCCCCTGTGGATTTCTGGCTTTGCTGTTCCTTCATCTGTCAGCTTAGGGGCTTTGCTGAATCTTTAACTCTCCCTCCAGCAGGTCTCCAACAGACTTGGCCATCCATACTCTCCAGTCTTTGGTCTCTGTGACTTGCATAGAGGGAAGCATGAGGAACTGAATTTGGAACTTGTTTTGATGTCCCTAGAAAATGCCTCACGTGGCTGCTGTGCACCCCTCCCACTGCAGGGGCCACTCGTTCCTACCCAGGACACCTTGCTCCCCATCCTCCCTGGAGATGCCTTGATCTTGGCTCTTCTGTCACCTCACCCCCAGCTGTCCCCCTCCTCCCATCCCCTCCTGTGCGACCTGGTCTCCCTGCCCTCTGACTGGCTGTCTGCTCACCCCACAGATACCAGGAGCCCCGTGAGGTGCGTGTGGCCTCAGCTTGCAGAGGAGTGCACTTGCCAGACACTTCGGGGCTTTGAAGAGCACAGCTCATCTAAGATGGGCACAGGTGCATCAGAGAAACAAGCAGAGCAGAAGGTCCGCCGTGCCTTCGAGGCCTCCGAGGAAGCCCACGGGACTCTGGCAGCCTCAACCCCCTGGGTGGCCATGGGCTCTGCCTATGGTTCCTGTACCTGCTTGGGAGCCCAGCCTGTAACTGACCTGGCCCTCTGGCCTGTCATCTACTCCTGCATGGGATTTTCCCCACAAGCTTACCCAGCCTTCTGGGCTTACCCGTGGGTGCTCTATGGTGGGTATCTCTGGATGGGTTATCCCCCTCCAGCTGCCTTGGTGCCTTCAGTGTGGCTGTATTGGAGGGGCGCCTCCAGCTTTGACCCCCTCATAGGAAGTCCGTATCTGGCTGCCTTGGCCCCCAACCTATTTCCTTTCCCCATGAAATTCCCACCCACCTACTCCTTGGCTTCTCCCACTCTGGGCGGGGCCACCTCCAGCCACTGTCCCCAGGTGGGATGCTGGACTCCAGCCAGCTCAGCCCCCAGGGCTGCCGTAGAGGGGCCATCCAGAGGAGCTCCCTACTTGAAGACATGCAAAGCCCCTCCCTCAGAATGGGCCTCCAGGTTCGGTATTTGGGCACCTTTGCCCTGCTGCAGTTCAGAGCTCCGCCCTCTGCCCCCTTCCCCCATTGAAGATTCTCAGCTGGACCCGGGCTGCTCCCGCTCCTCCTCCCGGTCACCCTGCAGGGCCCGCCGCCGCCTCTTTGAGTGCTAATCAGCCCTCTAGACCCAGACCCACCCAACAATCAGAGACATGTCTGGTGGAGCCCAGCCAGCTGTGGACTTTAAGTTTTTGGAAGAGTCTCAGATGTAGGTTGTTTACTATTCTTCAGTACAGAGTACACCTCCTGGACTCATGCAAGGCCCCTCTATTTGCTATTTCTCTTTACTTTGTTTTTCTGTTTGCCCTTCAACCCTGATACTGGCACCTTTTCTCCTCCCCAGACTGTCCTGGGCCCGCCCTCTAGTAGATTTGCTGTGAGTCCTCAAACATGCATGCATGCAACCTTGTAAAATGAGCTTATTTAAGCTCAATCCAACCTGTAGAAGCGCTCAGTTAGAATAGGCCTCCAGGTTTGGTATTTGGGCACCTGTGCCACCCTCCAGCCCAGGACTCTCTCTGCCCCTCCTCAGCAAAGACCCTCAGCAGGATCCCCGCATCCCTGGCCACCCTGTGGGGCCTGCTGCTGTCTCTTCCAGCATTGGTGTGTCCTCCAGGGAACCACACACTCAAGCACTTTGGAACCCATGGAATCCAGTGAGCACGTGCTGTGGGCTCTGCCTAGAAGCTTCCAAAACCTGTTTGTTCCAGTGGACACAGAGTAGGAAATGCTGACTCGTTCAGAGCGCTAGTGCCCTTGGGTCCTTGCGGGTGTGCTCTTCTCACTCCTCACCCCATCAGCACCTTCTGGGGTAATGCACACACCAGTAAAATGTACAGTGCATGCTTTTAAAAATTTTTAAATAAATGATACTATGCTATAAATCATGTTTTCTCCAATTTTTCATTCATTAGTTTAAGACCTAGCCATATCTGTATATATGTATAGTGTATTTTGCTTATTCAAATTTATTAGCGTGTTTTCCATACTATTTCTTGCTGTATTTCTTGTTATGTGCTGTATTCCATTTTTCTTTAAAATTTTATTGTGTATATTTGAGGTTTACAACGTGATGTTATGGGATACATACAGGTAGTAAAATGGTTACCATAGTGAAGCCGACTAACATCTGTCATCTCACGGCTACTTTTTTTTGGTGATAAGAGGAGCTAAAATCTACTTATTTGACAAAAACCCCTAGTACAATGCCATTTCATTAGCTTTATTCCTCATGCTGTACCTTAGAGCTCTAGGCTTGCTCAGCCTATGTATATTTAGTATCCTTCGACTTACATATCCTGGTTTCCCCACTCCCAGCCCATGGGAACCACTGCTTCTTTCTCTATCTCTGTATTTTAGCTCTTTGTTCTGTTTTAATATTCCACATATAAGGGAAGCTGTGCAATTTTTTTTTCTGTGTCTGACTTATTTCATCATTCTCCATGCATGTTATGGCAAATGGCACGATCTCCTTTTTAAAGGCTAAATAATACTCTATATCCATTATATATATATGGATATAATCATATTTTCTTTATCCATTCATCCATTGATAGGCATTTGGGTTGTTTCCATATCTTGGCTATTGTAAATAATGCTGCCATGAACATGGGAGTGCAGGTATCTTTATGAGGTGGTGATTTCATCTTTTTTGGGTACATACCCGGAAGAAGCATTGCTGGGTCATATGGTACTTCTAGGTTTAATTTCTTCAGGGACTTCTATATTGTTTTCTATAGTGGCTGTACCCCTACTTTTCTTTTCAAATATTGTATAGAAAATTTCCCATGGATTTTTCTGTTTTATTAGTATCTATTTTCGACTCAGTGATTCTGTGTCTTGAAGTGTCTTCTCATTGTGAGCTTGTTTGTTTTGTAACTTCTTAAAGTTAATAACAGCTAGTTCATTTTTAGGCTTGATTCTTTTCTATTACAAGTTTTTAAGGCTATAAAATTCCCTCTAAATATACTACTTTAAAATGTATCCTACAGTTATGATATATGATATTTTTGTTTATCTTTTTAAATAATCACTATTAAGGAAAATCAAATAAATTTTATTTTCTTATAGCCTGACAAACCAAAATTGTTTGTAGTTTAAAAGTCTCATATAGAATTTCTATAATATTCCAATTAGTATTCCAATTATCATTGCTGTTATAATGGACTAATGAGAATTAAAATAATGTCTATATGATATTGATAGAGCATTAGTATGGAAGTTATTCACTTACAATATTCATACCAATAATATGTGCACTACCCAAAAAACTATAGCTTCATCCACAGCACTTTGAGCAAAACTTGAATCTCTTGAGTGGCAGTGCTTGTATACCTTTTGCTGATCTTATGCTGATGGTGAAGGAGAAATCATTAATAATACATATTGAAGGGAGGAGAAAGATTGCCAAGTTTCTTGGTATACTTTTGGAATTTGAAATAATTGATCTATTAGAAGGTTGAATTAACCTTGAAGAAACCCAATTCTGTCTCCAGGACATGATAGCCTAGGAAAACCCAGCCTGAGATGAGGCACCCATGTAACCTCCTGGAGCAGGTGCGGAGGGACAGGGCTGCAGGTCTCCAAGACCCTCAGCTGGGGAGGGGAGAGGGAGCTCTTCAGACTAGCACTGGGGAATTGATTTCTCCCTCGAGCCTGAAGATCACCCCTTCTGCTCTCCGTAGTTTTCTCTTGGCTCTGTGTTTTGGATGATGCCTTCTCTAGAGTGGTGGTTTCTCAAGATGGTTCTGTTTCTGCAAGTGCCTTTTACACAGCCTGAAGCTTTCTTATGAACTTCATGTTCTTGGATGAGGGCAGCAAGGCTCATGCCAGATGCTTTTCTCTTTTTACGCTGATTGCAAAAGACTGAGCAAATGTAGGAGACTGTCGATGACAGGTACACACACGGCTGGCCCTCCAGGGGCTATGGAGGATGGGGGCAGCCCGGGTTGTTGGGCTGCTTGACCACTGCTTCCTGCAGTGTCCCCAAAACACTTGGGTGGCCCCTTGGTGCTGCCAAAGTCTTCCACAGGCTGAGCTCCCCCATGCCCAACAAGGAGCACAGAGCCCCCAAAGCCACCTGCTAAATGGGGCAGAGCCTGCAGAGAGCTGCTTGCAGGGAGCTGGGAGGACGTGTGGGGCTCCCTCTCATAATCTGTTTTTACATTTTCTTCTCAGCTTTCCTGAGGTATACAGCAGTCCCTCCTTATCCTCGGTTCTGCTTTCTGAGGTTTCAGTTACCCACAGTCAACTTTGGTCTCAAAATATTAACTAAAAAATCCCAGAAATAAGCAATTTCTAAGTTTTAAAGGGGCCACCATTCTGAGTAGTGTTATGAGATCTCTGTCTTGCCCTGGGAATGGAGCCTGCCTTGTCCAGAGTTCCATGCTGTCTTCAGGTTCCACGCTGACTTCATCACCTGCCTGTTAGTCACTCCACCGTCTTGGTTATTAGGTCCACAGTGGGGGTACCTCTGCTTGTGTTCAAGGAACCCTTGTTTTATCTAATGGTGGCCTCAAGGCGCTAGAGGAGTGCTGCTGGCAATTCACATAGGCCAAAGAGAAGCCATAAAGTGCGTTCTTTAAGTGAAAATGTGAAAGTTCTTCACTTAATAAGGAAGGAAAAAATAGTATGCTGAGGTTGCTGAGATCTGTAGTATAATAAGATGCTGAGAGACAGGGAGACCACACTCACATAACTTTATTACAGCATATAGTTATAATTGTTCTGTTTTATTATTGATCTTATTGTGCCGAATTTATGAATTAAACTTTACCATAGGTATGTATAGGAAAAACAGTGTATACAGGGTTTGGCACCATCTGTGGCTTCAGGCATCCACTGGGGGTCTTGGAACATACTCCCCTCAGATAAGGAGGGACTACCGCAATTACATTTTTACATTTCTATTTGAAGAATTTTAATTATAAGGAGTAGTAGAAGGAACACCCATATATCCCCCATCTGTATACAATTGTTAATACTTTGCAACCTTTGTTTTATCTCTTGGTCTCTATTCATACAAACAAATACACTTACGCATAGTATCATGCATATGGATTATCTATCCATTTGTAGGGCTGTCTATCTGTTAAACCATTTGAAAGTAAATCACAGATGTCTGACACTTCCTCCTGCACCTCTCAAAAATAAGCATTCTCCTACGCTACCACTTATCATTATCATACCTGACAAGATTAATAATTCCCTAATGTCTATTATTCAGAACATACTCAAATACTCCCAGTTGCCCCAACAATATACAGTGTTTGATAGCTTTTTAAAAAAACCTAGGATAGATCACATAGCCATCTATATATCCTATTTTGTGGAGTGACTGTCCCAGGTTTTTTTTCCTTGGGTTGGTTGTGGGGTATGTGGTGTGTGTGCACTTATTCTATACATGAATGTTTTGTCAGATACAAGTATTGCTTATATCTTCTTTGTGGCTTTTCACTTTTAAAATGGGACGTGTCAATCAACAGAAGTTGTAAATTTTATGGATATCCAATTTTTATTAATATTTTCTCTTTTGGGTAGTGCTTTGAAAAGCCTGTTTAATAGCTTACCTGAAGGTCATGGACATAGTCTCATATTTTTTTCTTGAAGGTTTATTGTGTTACATTTTATACTTAGGTCTATAATCTACTTCAAATTAATTTTTGAAATTTGTTGCCTCTTGGCTTGTGGAACAGCCTTTGGCCTATTTTAGTACATTTTCCCATGTACTTAAAAATTCTGCAATTTAGGGGTATAATATTCCATATATGTCATTTAGGTGAAATTGGATAATTATTTTGTTCAAATATATGTTATTATTGCTTTTTATCTTCTTGTTTCATCAGAGTTGGCATTAAAATCTCCAGCTCTGATTGTGACTTATTCTATTTCTCCTTCTAGTTCTGTTGATTTTTGCTTTATATTTTTAAAGTTATGTTATTAGGTATATAACAAATTTGGGACAAAGGATGATTTGTCTTTTTTATAAGATGTCCCACTTGACATCTTTCAATGCTTCTAACATTAACATCTGTTTTGTGTGATGATAATATATTCATTCCACTTTTCCTTTTCAGGCTAGTCAAGTGAAGCAGTGAGGGTGGAAAGTGAACAAAGAAATCTATAACTGCCTGTGATCCATTAGCTGTAGACACCACTGCCTGTGTACTTTTCTTTTGGTTAGTGCTTGCCTTACTTTCAATCACTTCATGTTCTTAAGTGTTTCATAAACAGCAGGTCGATGGTTTGGTTTTTTCAATCCAGTCTGACAGTCTCTGTCTTTTAACTGGATTGTTTACACCATTTATATTTAACAGAATCACTGCTATCATTGACCTGATACCATTACCATTACTATCTCACTATTTGTGTTCTCTTTGTTCCCTCTGCTCTTTGTTCCTTTATTTCTCCTTTCCTGCCATCTTTCATAATATTCAAAGTATTTTTTAATTATTCCATTGTACCTCCTCTATTACTATTTAGTTACACATTAGTGTATTATTCTTTTGGTGGTTACTCTAGAGATTAAAATATGTACCCTTGATGTATTATAGCCTACTTTATATTTGTATTTTACCACTTTTCCAAATCATGCATGAGCCTTCCAGCAGTTTTAACTCCATTCTTCCCTCTGCTTTTGCCCTATTGTTGTAATGCCTTCTATTTAAGTTGGTAGTTTCACAAGACATTATTGTTTGAGACTTACAGCCATTGCTGTTATACAATTACTCATATATTTGCCTTTCCAGCAGTCTTCTTTCCTGCCAAAATCTCGATGCCTCTGCCTGGAATCATTTTCTTTCAGCCTGAAGAACTACTTCCATGCTTTGAATCATGAGGAATTCTTTCAGCTTATGTTTGTCTGGAAACATCTTAATTGTGCCTTCTATTTTAAAGGATATTTTTGCTGACTCTTTGTCCTAGGTCAGCAGATTTTCCTGAAAGTATCATTCCATTTTTTTTCCTCATGGGATTCTAAGTCACAAGGAAGACTTACACACTTTGGACAACTTTCAGAACAGGAAAAAATCTTCAAAGGCTTGTGGACACTCACACCAACATGTTCACTAAGGTCATTTTTTATTATTGATGGTAACTTGATTCCATTGCTTGAGAATGCAATATAAAACCAGTTCTTTGAAATTTATAGATATTATAAACCCAGTAAATTTTGTAAACATGTTAAGTACATTTTCATTGCAGCGTTCTTTATATGTCCATATATGGAAGAGTTCTGATCAAGTTGCTAATTGTATAGTTTAAATCTTTTATATCATTAACTATAATTTTTGGTTTCCTGATCTTTCAGTTATATAGAGATGTGTGTTGTGTGTTGAAATTTATCAAAGTATTTTTCTTGTATTTACTGTCATCTTGTATTAATCATTTTGTTATCTTCTGTAGGCTAATAATGCAGTGGATTGTGTTGAATCATCCTTGCAACTGCAATCTCCTTGCAGTTGAGATAAACTAAATCTGACCATATTTTTGTATTTTGCAATATATTTTGCAATATATTTTGCATTTGGTTTATTGATGTGTTATTTAGGATATTTTACATAAGGGAGACATAATCTAGGTATGTTTCTTGTGTTGACCTTACCACTTTTGAATTCAAAAACTAAATTTCACAGCTTTTCCTCTGAAAAGAAATTTCTGGAGTCTGTTTATGAGAAAGTTTGAAAAATCACCTATAATCACCACCTGTTCCTGGGACTTTTTTTTTTTTTTTTGGAAGGAGTTTCACTCTTGTTGCCCAGGCTGGAGTTCAATGGTGCAATCTCAGCTCACCGCAACCTCCGCCTCCTGGGTTCAAGCGATTCTCCTGCTGCATCCACCCGAGTAGCTGGAATTACAGGCATGTGCCACCATGCCTGGCTATTTTTGTATTTTTAGTAGAGACAGGGTTTCTCCATGTTGTTCAGGCTGGTCTCGAACTCCCAACCTCAGATGATCCATCTGCCTCGGCCTCCAAAGTGCTGGGCATGAACCGCCATGCCTGGCCTCCTGGGACTTTTAAGGAATAAAGGAGTTACCACTTTGCTTATCACATTTATTTTTGTATTAGTAGTTTTTATATTTCTTTTATATAATAGTTCTATGTTTTATTTAAATGCATCTTTTCTCATCTTAATCGATCTTCTCAATGTTTTGTCTATCAAAGTTTTTTTCAAAGAAATCATTTTTTCACTCTTACTATTTTGTCATTCTATGTTCATGGATTTCTGCTTTTGTATTTTGTCCCTTCATTTTATTTCCATGGATTTGTTCTGTTGCTATTTTTTTACACCTCAGTGGAATGCATAGTGTTTTCTCTTTTCCCTTATGATGAACCTAAAGCTATACATTTTCTTCAGAATACCCACCTCTTTAGCTTTGTCCCACAAATTTGGTAGGTGGTATATTCCTTATTGCCTGTTGGACAGGGCTGAGGAGCTCCTAGAGCTTCAGTCCCTGTGGGGGACCAGGTTACCTCAGCCCAGCCTCAGGCATCAGCAGCAGAATCCCACAGTGCAGCTCTTGCCTGGACAGGCTTGGGGCCGCCATAGCATTGGGCCCAGAACTTAGCATCTGGGCATCAGATCCTCCTCTTCTTCGGCCTCTTCACCCTGCTCAGACTGTTAACCCCATCACTGCCCCCATACAAAGCTCACACACGTGCTGTGCACCATGGGCAAGACAGGAGCCCACCCAGTACTCATTGAGCTGCCGCTGTGAACCCTGCCTGAGCTCCCCAGTATGAACACGCCTTGCTGACCTGGGGCTCCTGGCCACACCCTGAGCAAGTCCAAATGCGCCTGTGTACCATCTCAGCAGACACAAGGGCGCCCGGTTATGACGGGATATCCTCGTAGGGACCGTGCACTGTCTAACCATTTAACTGCACCAGCATTGCTGAAGGCATCTATCTGGGTGCCAAAGCTGGAGAACATCTTCAGGACTCTCCCATTTAAACTCAAGAGTTCACTTTGGAGCCCGGTGGGGCATTTTGGAGGTTAACAGCCATCCTCCAGAGCCACTTCCTCCAAGGAGCACAAGAGGCTGGTGTTTCTATGGGTCAGGAGTGATGAGCCGTGTGCTACAACCAGGAAGGGGAGGAAAGCAGATGTGGGCCGGCGTGAGTGCCAAACCACTCAGGAGTGGAGACAGCACAGAGCAGGGGCAAAGCTGGTCCTGGGCCTGTCCTGCCACCAGCCTGCACGCCCTCCACCTCACCTCCACTCACACCCTCCACAGGCTCATGCACTTGCCTTTCCACAGGGCGATATTTAGATAGTTAATTCCTTTCCAAACTCCTGGCATTCCTATGCCCACATTAGAGCTTCTCCCTGTTCTTGTACTTTATATAATACTTTTTTCAAGACTTGAGTCACAGGTGATATATTTTATTTTAAATTAGCTTTTGTTACTCCATATAATCCCCCTTTTTTTTTTTTTTTTGAGACAGGGTCTCTTCCTGACACCCAGGCTGAAGTGCAATGGTGCAATCATGGCTCATTGCAGCCTCAACCTCCCTAAACAGGTGATCCTCCCACCTCAGCCTCCTGAGTGACTGGGACTACAGATATGTGCCACCAGGCCTGGCTAATTTTTGTATTGCCCAGGCTGGTCTCAAACTCCTGGGCTCAAGTGATCCACCAGCCTTAGCCTCCCCAAGTGTTGGGATTACAGGTATGAGCCACTGTGCACGGCTGTAACGCCTTTTCAATAGATGCACTACATGTTAAATCTAATCACTAAAGGAAATTTCAGCGTCACTTACCAGATGTAGAATATAAAACTAGATACAGTGAAAACAGAACAATGTGATTACATTCTGACTGGCTGAAGGTGTCGGTCTCAAGCCTAGACTTGCTTTGCTAAAAAGAGAGATTGGTAGGTGTTGGTGTTACAGTCCAACCCTCAGCTCTAAGAGGCCACAAGAAGCACACTGGGTCCCTGATTCCCCCTTGTTGCAGAGCCTGAGCTCTGGAGGACAGACCTAGAATCTCTGGCCTTAGCCACATCCACTCCTGTCTGCCCCAAGTTCCCCACATGGAGTTTCGGTTCTGCCCAGGGTACGGGGCAGAGATAAGAAATGAAGTCTCTGCTTCCTTTCCCAGTCGGTGGAACCCAGCATTGGAAGAGCAACAGGAGCACCCTGTCCCTGGCTCCCTTCTTCATAGGTTTCTGACTCAGTTTCCCCACTCACACTCTATCTCTGTGCTGGGGTTGAAGCCCAGCTGGCCTCCCCTAGGACACCCTGAGGATGGGGCACCCTCCACCTCTGGGCAGCTCCTCTCTTGGACATGTTGGCTGGCCAGAGCCAGGGAAGCTGTCCCCCTAACCTCTACCAACGGCCTGGACTGCCCCAGCCTCCCCTGTGAGATGCTCACATGGCCCAGGGTTGAAGGAGTCGACTTTCAAGGGCAGGGCCAGGGCCAGGGACAGGGGTAGGGGCAGGGCCAGGACCAGGGGCAGGGTCAGAGGCAGGGCCAGGGCCAGGGGCAGGGGCAGGGGTGCACACACCTCGCCCTGGGCCTGGGGGCTGGGCAGCTATCAGTTTGCCCCTGTTGTCCTTCTGCTGGGCTCTGCACGAAAGACCTACAGCTCCCAGGCTCCCTTGCCAAGTGGCTTCCTGGCAGGCGTTGGCGAGAGGGTGAGAGGAAGGGGAGAAGCCAGGGTGTCTTCCCCTCCTCTCTCTGCCTCTTGGGCTCTGGCTCCCCTGGGCAGCCCCTGCTGTGGCCTGGCTCCCTCTCGATGCCCTGACGTGCAGGTCCTGGCAATATCATTTCCCTCCATTGTC
Source organism: Homo sapiens (assembly GCF_000001405.40). Lineage (NCBI taxonomy): Eukaryota > Metazoa > Chordata > Mammalia > Primates > Hominidae > Homo > Homo sapiens. Next base: position 127,207,086 of record NC_000003.12, read on the forward strand.
TCCTCAGCCTTGCAGCAATGGTGGCTTCCGGCCATGGTTGACCGAGCTGATCACTGTCCCATCAGGCTTCCCAGCAATTCCATCACCCAGAGAACTTATTCTCTGAATTAAATTCGCTTGGTTTATAAAACTTCGAGGGATTTGTCTCTTGGAGGGACAGGCTGTGCCCTGTGGAAGGGCAGCAGTGGGAAGCAGAGGGGGCCTCTGAGGGCTGGCACACCTGCCTGGAGAGGGCTGAGCTGCAGGGCGGAGCAGGCCTGCCACTGTCCAGGCCCCGGGTGGTGTGCTAGAAAGAAACTACCCCTGGGTTTGGGTGATTTTGGGGACTCTAAGCACAGGGGTTGGCTCAGATTGGCTATTGCAAAAAGTGGGTCAATGCCACGACTGGGTTTCTGGCTAAATCCTATCTATAGAGGGGGTGCATGTAGACAGGCTGTCAGGGGGACAGAAGTGGCAGTTGCTTACTTTGGCTGAAAGAGTGGTTGCTTGGTATTTTGTGGGTGGCACAGCAAGTGACCTCACTTTGGGCAGAGACACATCATGAAGTGGCCTTGCTTTGTCTCATGTCATCATGTCTCAGTGACCTTGGCCTTGGTTGGTCTTCTGTGCAATGGTTAACGTCTAATAGAGTGGACCCAGCTGTAAGTGCCTGGCCAGCTTCTGGATGGGAGGAGCTGCCCTTTTTCTTTCTGGAGAGGCATCGTGTGAAACATTTCTGACCATGGCCTTCCCTTGCTCGAGTCCCAGTGATGCTCTGCCTGGCCCAGTGTACCCAGCACAAGTGCCCCTGAACCTGGCTCCCAGGCAGACCAAGGGTGCCAGCACCCACACTGTGTGGGAGGAAAGCACTGCACCCCAGTTCACACATTTAATCCTGCAGTATGGGTGGCACTAGCACCATTTTCCAGATGAAGAAACTGAGGCATGAAGAGGTTAGGGCCTCTGCCACTGTAAGAAGAGACAGAGCCGGCCTTCCCCAACTTACCCTAACAATGATAGCGGTCATGAGAAGAACAGCAGCAGCTGACAAGGACTGATCCCCAGCTGCTGGCCACATGCTGAGGCCTGTGCCTATGAGCACCTTCACCAGCACAGCAGCTTGAGGAGGTTTGCTTGTCATCGCCACTTTACAGGCCAGGACTGAGTCAAAGAGGCCAGAGGCTTTAGGGTCACTCAGCCAAGGCATCTAAAATACCAAATCCCTGTCACCCCAGGGAAGCCACTTGCCCCCCAACTTGCTCCCGTGCAGCCCCCAGTGCTCCCCTGAACGCTTCTTGCACACCCACCCCTGTGGCTGCCTGGTTCCCAGCCCATCTTCCCTGCCACTGTGGAAGCTTCTGGAGGAGGTAATGGCCCAGTTGATCTTGTGCCCCTACACGAGGGGTGTGAGCAGGCAGGATGCAGACATGACAGCAGGCGAGGGTACGGGCTGCAGCGTTCCCTCTGACTGTGTGAATAGAGAAAGGGCTGGGGAAGCCCACCCTGCCGGCCCCATCGAAGTCACAGATGCCAACACCTTCAGTCGCTGCTGGCAGGCAGGAGTGAGGACTGGGGAGCCGCAAGCAGGCAGGCTGCCAGGATGGTCGTCAGGTGTCCAGCCTGAGCTGGATGGCAGGTGGAGAATCCAGGCTGCAGTGGGGCCCGGGGCTCACGCTCAGGAGCCAGGCCCGGGCTGGAGGTCAGGGAGCAGTGGGCAGAGTGACCACAACCCACAGCCCCTCCTGTGAGGCCCAGACTAGAATGGCCCTAGGATGCCTATGACCGAAGGTCTCTGTGACATTTCAGCAATGACATCATGCCTATGGGCTGTGTGGTGTAACACCCCAGAGGCGTGTGGCCTAGTTAAGTATTCAGACTCTGGCCTTGCAGCCATTGTTTCCTAAGAAAAGTCACACTGCAAAGTGGCTGCCACTGGTACCTCATCTGTCTGTGTCATCCACCCCAGAGGCTCGGCCAGTTTGCTTTATTTACAAGGGTTAGAAATCAGTTTTCAAAGGTGGAATTGGTGGCTTGTTAATCTGCATAACAGATGCTGAGAGTGGGCTATCCCTGGGAAATCACCACTGGAGGTCTGTTGATTGGCTAGAATATTGTGCCCTAAGCTGTCCTCTGTCCAGGCTTTGGTGGGGAGGATGTGGTGGTGGCTGTGATGTGCTGGAACATCTGCCTTTGCCAGAGCGAGCCTTTATGCAGGAGAAGGCCAGAGGGCCGATACCTTAACCAACTTCCCCATGGGCCTGTGAACTGCCTTTGGTGCGGCCCCACTGGAGAATATTTGTGTGCTACACTTCAGGATGCAAGGAGGAATCTGGTCTGCACCTTGCTCTCAAGATACCCCCTGATGAAGCTGAAACAGCACTCACCAGGCGGGCACTCACTACAAACCTTTTAGCAGCTAATGTCATCTGGACCCGACATGTGGCAGGATCACACTGCCTGGGGTGGGGGCAGAAGGCCTGTGAAACACAGAGGCCATAGGGTGCACCTGGCTGAGGGGGACACAGGGTGCGGGCATGTGCACGCTGCATGGAGACCCTCATGCTGGCCAGCGTGGGGGCACCCCGGGCTTTATCAAGAGCGGGAATTAACTGGAGACTTGACAAGCTGGTGTTCCCTGCTGGGGAACACCGGAGCTCAGCCTGTCCATCAGTTGGCCCCGGAGGCTGGAGTGCAGGCAGGACTGTGAGGCCCACCTGCTGCTAACCCGCCAGGGAGGGCCTCTTGAAGCTTGTCTGCCTGGACATGTGCAAAGTGGCTGATGGTGGCTGTGCCAAGTCCTCTGGGCCCTGAGGCACTGAGCAGCCCCACAGGAGCTGAGAGGTGCTGCACCCGACCCTCCCTCCAGCAGCGCCATGAGGAAGCATGTGGCTGTGCCTGCATGAGCGGCCAGCTGGACTTGGGGGCTGAGATGGACGGAAAGAGGATTACTCTCCTCGGGGGCTGCACCCCCAGTCCCAACCACTCTGGGACTGTTTGGGAATCCTGAGAGCTCCCATGGCAGACACAGATCTCACTTAGTCTCAGCCTTTGTGGATTAGAGTTGTCAAAAGCCTGCTGTGACCTGGGAGCAAGGGAGGCCAGAGCCCAGCATGAGGCCCCAGTCAAGCTACCTGGCAGCTCAACCACTGCAGTGGGAAGGAAGTCGTGTCCCCCAGGCTCCGTACAACTGTCAGCAGCACAGTCATTGTGGGTGCACCCCCCGAGCGGGCCATTCACCAGCCCTAGACTCCCCACGCCTTACCTCAAACCCTCTGCTTACAGCCCCAGGACCCTAGGCCAGACCCTGAGGAGGCCCGCAGGCTCTGGGCAGTGCAGTCCTGTGTCCATGCAGTGCCTCACCTCCCTCACCTGCAGAAAGAACAGCAGGGACACTGGAGGGGAATCCCAGTGGAGCTTGTGGGGAGAGGTGGGGACCCTGGGGGAGGCGCCTGGGCTAACTCCAGGCTCTGAGCTGCTGTGTGACTTGGACAAGTCACTCACCCTGCGGGGCTGTTATCCAGGCACTCTGATATCCTGGGGTTTCTGCTAGGGCTGGATGGGTCACAGCACACGCCTCATGGCCATAGAGCTTTTTGTGTGGCTGTTGTGCCCCGGGCTGACTTGAGCGATGGGGGACACTAAAGACACTAACCACCCACCAGACGGCGTGAGGGCTAAGATGCCATGCTTTCCCAAGTCTGACTGTCCCCTGAGGTTCCTTGGTGGCGGTCAGCAGCAGGAGGTGGGAAAATGAGATTGTGGCTCACTTTTCCAGGCACCCACAGTTGCAGGTGCTTTCCATGAGCTGCTAACCCTGTAAGCAGGTGCCGCTGAAATCAGCACCACCCTCCCCATTCCACAGAGGGGGAAACACCGGCAAGGAAAGGCCGATAGTAACCTCTATTTCAAAATTGCTCAGAGATTACGTTTCCATTGCTCTCACCATAATACGTAAGTATGTGAGGTGATGGCTAAGTTCATTAGCTTGATTTAATAATTCCACATTGTATACATATGTCAAAGCATCACATTGTACCCCATAAATATAGGCAATTATGATTTGTCCACTAAAAACAAACAAAAAAAACAAACACATGATCAGGTCGAGGCAGGACGAAGCTTTGGGGAGGAATGGTCAGAGGAGGACGACTGAGCCCCATGCATGCCTCCCACACTGCCAAGCCTGTCCCTTTGACATTCAATTCAGGTTTTGGTTTGAAATTTGGTGGATCTGGCCTGGAGGATGCTGTCTTCTCTGAGGCACCCACAACCCCAGGTTGAGTTGAGCCTGTGCGGCAGGGCAGCCCCCGAGGCTGGATGGTCCTGAATGAGCCTTCGATGTGTCGGATGAATCCGCCACCCCCAAGGGATGCAGTGGCAGCCTGACAGTGCCACACATAGGCTGCCATCTCTCCCATGGGTTTCTCCTCATGAACTCACTTCCTGCTAAGGATGTCTCAAGGGGACTTCTCAGCACCCAGGCAAAGCCCTGGGCACTCACCATCTCCCTCATGGCTCCAGGAGGGCCTCTCTGCTCATAGCACCAGGAAAACAGCAGAGCTTCTGCCCTCCCCAAATGCCAGCACCCCACTAAGGTGGGACAGAAGTGGCTCCAGGAGCAGCAGAGTGAGTTCCTCCCAGCCCTTGCACCCAGGCCAGGAGCACAGCCCAGGGAGAGGAGCTCGTGGCCATGGGGAAATGCTGTGCTGGGGAGGGGCAGGGGCGCCAAGCCGGGGACGGCACTCAGGGTGTGGGCAAACCTGAGGCTTCAGTTGGAGGAGGGTGAGAAATGGCACCAATGAGACCCTGGGCCAGCATGTTCCGAGGCAGAGAGCTCTAAGGGGAGCACTGACTCAGGTGCAGGACACAGGGACAGGCAGCTCAGGAGACCCAGAGCCTGGAGCAGGACCCCGTGGCACATCAGTCCCTGTAGCAGGGCTGGGCAATGTCCTGAAGCAGGAACAAGCAGTTCAAAGAAACCCCTTAAGAAAATGCTGGGAATGGAAATGTAATGGAGACAACGAAGGCCTTCATAGCAGGGAAAACAGAATTAATGAGCTGGAAGATGAGGTGGGGGAACTCGCTTGGAAGGCATGCAGAAAGGACAGTGATGGAGCAGGTACCAGGAAGATGAAGAGGCGCAGCAGAGAAAGCCTCAGCACCTGGATCCCGGAGTCTCACAGAAGAAAGGACAGAAATATTCAAAGAATCAATGACCAAGATTTCGCAGAAATAAAGAAGCTTCAAAAGATTGAGAAATACCAAGAAGAATAGAATAGGAACCCCCATCCCCCACCTCCAGACACACAATGAGATTTAATATCCTCAAGCAGAAGCTTCTGGAAGGCTCTGGAACATGGAGCCCCACCAGGACACACATCCAGGGTGATGGTAGGCCCCACCCCATGCCGCCATGGTGTGCTGAGTATGCCTGCATCTCTTTCTTCCTGTCCATCCACCTCTGGTTGTCAGAAGTGGACAAGATGAGAACACAGATGTGAAAATATGAAGTACCATTTTAGCTCACCAAATGCAAGAGTTTATTTGACACATTATGGTCAAGTAGGTCTCACCTAGTCCTGGAGATACTGACCAATGTTCTAAGTCAGCACTGTAAGTTCCCACTGAGGAACTGCCAAGGGGATCCCCTTGGCTCACCTCGACACCCCCATGTGTGCAACAGAATGCACAGCTCTTTCCTTCCCCCACATCCCAACACATGGCCGAACTTCACAGTCCGTACAAAAGATCCTCAGAACCCATCCAACATTCCTTTTAAGGAACTGCAGAATCTAGAGGATCCTAGGGCTCCCACCTGCCAGGCCTTGCACAGCCTAGGCTGTCCCAGCCCCCTACAGCATCCTCATCCTCCTGCAGTGCTGCAGGTCGCAGAGTCTGTCCTCAACAAAGTACCTCTTGGCAGATCTCATCTCCAAGGCTGCCTTCACCTTCTGGCTTGAGAATGAATGGCCAAAGCCTAATGGGCCTGACACTACTTTTTTGTACCAAATATTAAATAGCACTTTCATCCGTCTTAATTATTCTGAATAAAATTCACACATGCAGATACTTCCAGTTCCAGACAAACTTGGAGTAGAGCACTTCTCCCTATTCATCCTGCTAAGTACAGCCAGAAGCCTTGGGTGTTATTCATAAAACAAACATGAGAAGAGTCGGAACCGTGGAGGGGAGAAGGCAGGGGCTGGGAAGGACCTGGCTGTAAATTTCCCCAGTTTTCTTTTCCCTCCTATAACCTGGAATGAGTGCTGGGAAAGCCAGCAACCCAGAGGTGCCAGTAGGAATAGACAGAAGAGAACTCAAGCCTCCTATCTCTAGCCAAAGCCCCAGGAAAGAGGCAGCCCAGCAAATCAGAAAACATGAGGACAATTAAGTACCTTTCCCCAGCCAAACCCCATAGAAAAACCACAGCCTGACTCCATTAGCAAAGGTGGGTGGGGACGCAGCCTTGGCCTTGGCCATTGCCTGCTGTAAGGAGGCACCCCTCCCCCTTTCCTTCCCCCACCCTCCCCACCCCCACCGGGCTATGGGAGAAGCCTGCGTGGGGACCTGGGACTTGTACTCCTGCCTGGCTGCAACAAGGTCCCCATCCCTGCAGTGTCAGTGGAGGCTGCACAGGGAGGGGTAATGAGGTATCCTCCTCTTCCCAACAGTTGGTATCAGTGGAGGCCTAGTGGGGAGACTGGACTCCCACCACACCTCCCCACGAGGCCAAGGAAGGCCAAGTGGACAGCATGGACTTCCAGCCCCACTTGGCTGGAACTAGGTGATCCCCCTTTTCCTCCACTGGCCTGGTGTCAGAGGAAGCCAGCCAAAACAGTTAAAGAAGACCAAATACTCACAGCATAATGCCACAAATGTCAGGATACAAACAAAAATCACTCATTATGCCAAGAATTAGAAAAATCTCAATTTACATGACAAGGTACAGTCAACAGATGCCAACACTGAGATTATATGAATGTTGGAATTATCTGACCCTGTAGATCAACCACATGAAAGATGTTTCACTGAGCAATTAAGAACATTCTTGAGGCTGGGCACAGTGGCTCACACCTGTAATCATAGCACTTTGGGAGGCTGAGCAGGTGGATCAGCTTGAGCCAGGAGTTTGAGACCAGCCCAGGCAACATGGTGAAACCCCATCTGTATAAAAAATACAAAAATTAGCTGGGCATGGTGGCACATGCCTGGAGTCCCAGCTACTCGGGAAGCTGAGGTTGGAGGATCACTTGAGCCTGGGAAGTTGAGGCTGCAGTGAAGTGAGATTGTGCCGCTGCACTCCAGCCTGGGTGACAGAGTGAGACCCTGTGTCAGAAAGTAAAGAGCAGACTTGAAACAAATGAAAATAGAATTTCAGCAAAGAAATAGAAAATATAATGGAGAACTAAACAGAAATTTTAGAACTGAAAAATATAATAACTAAAAATTTAAAACTCAGTGGATGAGCTCAACAGCCAAATGGAGAAAACAAGAATTAATGAACTTAAAGACAGAACAATAGAAATTACCCAGTCTGAACAAGGGGAAAATTGAACAGAGCCTAGGGACCTGCGGGTCTGTAACAAAAGATCTAACATTTCAGTTATGGGAGTCCAAGGAGAGGAGAAAGGTGGGGGGTGGTTGAAAAAGAGATCAAAGAAATAATGGCCGGAAATTTCTCACATTTAACAAAAGACATAAACCTACAGATTGAAGCAGCAGAGCCAGCCAAACAGGATAAGCCCAAAGAAATCCACACCAAGACACATGACAGTCAAAGTTCTGAACACCAAAGATAAAGAAAAAATCTTGACAGCAATGAGAGAGAAATGACACCATACCGGTAAGAGAAAAACAATTTGGGTGGTGTGGAATTCTCATCAGCAACAATGGAGGCTGGAGGGAGACGGCACAATATCTTTCAAGTGCTGAAAGAAAAGAACTGTCAACTCAAATGAAGGAGAAATCAAGACATTCTCAGATAAAGGAAACGAACAGGATTTGTTGCCAGCAGATCCACCCTCAAAGAATAGCTAACGGAAAGGAATGGAATGGCTCAACAGAAAGGAAATGATGAAAGATGGAATCTTGGAACCTCAGGAAGGAAGCAGCTAAAATAGGGTAACTGCAATAAACTGCTACTCTTCTTGAGTTTCCTAAATTGTGTTTGACAGTTGAAGCGGAAAGTATAACATTGTCTGATGTGGTTCTCCAGGAGTGTAGAGGAAATATTTAAGACAATTGTATTTTAAACAGGGGAGGGTAAGATTTCTACATGTGCCTCAAACTGGTAAAATATTGACACCAGGAGACTGATAACTTATCTATATGGAATGTGAGATCTAGAGCAGCCCCTGAAACATCCATACAGGGAGAGTATGAAACATCCATACTCAAAAACACTGTAGATCAATCAAAATGGAATTCTAGAAAATGTTCAAGTATCCATAGGAAGGCAGGCAAAAGAAAACAGAAATGAAAGTCAGAGGGAACAAATAGAAGACAAAAAAAATAGATTTAAGTCCTAACATATGAATAATTACATTAAATATAAATGGTCTCACCTGCTATATGACCCCATTTATAGAACATTGGTGAAATGACAAAGTTATAGAGATGGAACACAGTTAGCAGTTGCCAGGAGTTAGGCATGGTGGTACAGGGAGAAAGGGGAGGTGTGACCAGAAAGGGGTTGTATGGGAGAAATCCTTGTAATGATAAGATGTGTCTTCTGGCAGCGATAATACAAAGCTACACATTTGATACAAGGGCATAGAAGTATACACATACACTGTACCAATTTCAGTTGCTGACTCAATATTGTACTCTAGCAAGGCAAGATGTCACCACTGGGGAAAATGAGTGAGAGGAACATGGGATCTCTTTGCACTATATTTGCAACTTCCTGTGAATCTATAATAATTTCCAATTTTAAAAAAGTCAGATTGTAACTTACATACGCATTTTTTAAAAAGGCCAATCCACTCTTGTCATACATAGGAGAAAAATGTGTATTTCCCCATGGAAATACGTGGGCATGACACCCTAGAAAACATGTCGTCAGCTGTCTCCCTTACTATTATGATTAAGTCTGGATGTGAGAAATAAGATCACAGCCATTTCCACACAAAATATACAGGAAAGGAAAGAACAGAGGTCACATTCAGGAGCATTTGGTGCACCTTAAAACCAGCAAACACACTTTGTGTTTATATGTAAAATGAGGTACCCGTCAGTCTTCAGTAACTACGAATTGTTCTCACCTCTGTGAGAATCAACAGGGCCTCTGAAAGACATGCAAGCTGAGGGCACTTCCCCGGGGAGGGACAGCTGACACACGTAAGTCATTTAGCGTCTGCAGTCCCTGCCCATTAAAAGGCAGCAGCACTCTTCTAACACCATGTCAATCAGAAAAGCCCCAGAAGGTTTTGGGACATCCCCAGGGAGGAGTAAGAACTCCCTGAAGCATCCCTACTGAAACAGAGGGACCCTGTGCCCTGCTGACCTCTTAGTGATGGCGGCTTTCTCTCTGTGTCCCACGGGTACTTCTTGGTCCTCACCACCACCTCCACACCACTGTCCCAAGGGTATAATCTGACTATGCCGCTGCTACTCCCTCTCGCCATGGTCGTCAATTCCTATGATCTTGCAGCTGGCCAGGCAGTGTTCTTCACCGCTTCTCCTGCCCTGCTTCGAATTGCAATTTCCATATCCACACGGATAATTTTCCAGGAACTTTCACCATCTCACCGCCAAACTATCTCAACCACCCACTCCCGTGGCCAAACCTGCATCTTGTCATTACCAATAACTACATCCATTTTTAAATGAATTTAGCATTTCCAATCAGTTACCCCTACCTTCCCACCTCACTTTCTCTAGTATCTTCCACTCCAATGATCCTCTGAGTCATTTAAAACTCCACTTTACTGAACCCGCCTTCTCTCCACCATCCCGGGCCCTGGGAGGGCTTCCTCACCCTCCTGACGCACCGTGTTCCATCACACTGTTTAATCATCCTCATGCCTCATGTCTTTCTTTCTCCTTCTGGCCCACTTGGCAATATCTAGCCCCAGCCAAACCCAACCCTCCATCTACTCTGTACTTGCATCCATGAAGGTAAACACAGCTAGACAAAGACCCACCACCATAATGATGGGTCTCATCCTAAACTCGTGACTGTGAACCTTAAGCAGTTAAACCTCCTGTGTTTACTGGGTCCATTTCCCCTGCTGCTCATCTATGCAATGACTTCACCTCCTCTACGGACCAGCAGACTTCATGCCTGCCACATTCCCTTCCTGTGCTTTGTCAGCACTTCTTCTTTCCACGGAGCCTCTACGTGGGCATGAAAACATGCTGTTGTGTGCCCCATCTTCACCGCCCCTCGGCCGCTCCTGTCCCTCCAGCATCCACTCCGTGTTTCTCCTGCCCTTTACAAAGAACCCTTATGAAAAAATTTCTGTGATCTCATCTCTGCTTCTTCTGCTCCCGTTCTGCTAATTATTATTACTATTTTTTCATGTGACTTATTTTTTAGAAGTTTGATTTTAAGCTACCTTTAGATTTACAGAAGAATTGTAAAAATTGTGCAGAGAATTTGTTTTCCCTCACTCAGCTTACTCCAGTGTTAACATCTAATATGACTCATGCTTTTTTGAACTCAAGTTCTCATCATCCACCAAAAATATTCTCATTAAAGTCACGAATGACCTCTGCCATCTCCAACCTGAAGCCAGCCCTGGTCTGAATCACTCTGCTGGCAGCAGTTGGCAGAGCTAGGAATGTCGCTTTTGCAATTCGTTCACTCTCCTGTTTCCTGTCCCACTCACCATGCTTGTTTCTCCCTATCTTCTCAACTTTCAAATGTTGGAGAATTCCAAGCCTCAGTCTTTGTCCCTCTTCCTCCCTGCCCTGCACATACTCCCTAGGAAATCTCATCTACTTCTGACACCTGAAAACCATCTGTGCTGACAACTCTCAGATGTGCATGCCGACCCAGCCCAGCCCTCCATACTCCAGACTCGCATCCAGCTGCCTACACAACAACCCTGTTTTTCTGGAGAAGGCATCACAGACTCAACGTGCCACAAACAGAGCTCCAGGTCCTTCTGCTTCCCCCTGAGCCATTCTTATCTCCCTAAGTAGAGCTCCGTGCTTCAAGGTGCTCAGACCAAATGCTCTTGAGTCATTTCACTCCTCTCTCTGGCAAGCCCTACACCTAACACAGCAGTATGTTTCATTTCTACCGTCAGAGTATATCCAGAATTGAGCCACACTGTACCTACCTCCCTCACAGCCACCACCGGGATGAGCCATCCTCACCTTGCCTAGACTCTCAGCCTTCTGACTGGTCTCCATTTCCATGCTGCCTCCTCCACCTTCAGTCTGGTCTCACGGCATCAGTCTGAGGTGGATCTCCTCACTCCTCTGTGCAAACCCTCAGACAACTCCCGCGACTGACATTGTTTCCACCCCTCCCTGCCTGCGTTCTAACCACACTGGTCTCCCTGCTGTTCCTGGAAAAAGGCAAAGGTACTCCTCCCTCTCCTCCGCTCCACCCCTTCCTCCTGGCTTCTGCTCAAGTCACTTTTTTTGGTGAGGATTTCCCCGAGCCCACCCACCATCACTCTGCATCCTCCTTACTCTTTGTTTCACAGGACTTACCGCCAGCCGCTATTTATTTGTTTCCCACCTCTTCTCAGATAGATGGAAGGCTTCGTTGGTAAGGACTTACTTTTCTGGACTACGCTATCTCCAGCACCTGTGACAATGCCTGGCACACCTCGGATGCTCTATGCGCATTTATTGAATGAATTATTTCATGTATGATAATTATCTCATAAGACCCGACAGAATAAACTGAGAACTTACAGGGTTGCAATTGAACATTTTTTTAATTAAAAAGGAAAACATATGCATGTCTAGAAATAAATGCTTTAAAGGAAAACAAACACCATGAAGATCATAAAAGAATGAATATAACATACTCATGAATAGAGCAAGCTAACAAGGTGGATGTCAGTTTGTTCTAACTTAATCTATACATTTTTATCCTAATCAATCTAGTTGGATTCCTTTGAAGGAATTAGACAAACTCACTTCAAAATTTATACAGAAGAAAAGAACTATAAATCACTGTCAAGTCTGAAAAAGTAAAGCGAAAAGGGGTTAGAGTGGCTGTGAGGAGTTGGCCTAGTAGATACCAACATGCATTGAAATGTAACAAACAGAAGTAGAGAGTGAATGAAGGGACAGACCGGGGCACAGCCTGGAGAGCTCAGGAACAGACCCCTGGGCACACAAATGCCTGAAACATACACAGATGAGCCCTCGAATCAATAGGGAAGATGCTTTGTTTAATAGCACTGGACCTGGCAGTGACCTGGAAAAAGATAAGTTCAGGTCCTTATGTAACATTATCTATAAGGATGGACTCCCAGGCAACATCCAGGGAAAACTGTAAGGATATTTAAAAATAGAGGGGATCTGTGCAACCTGGAAGAGACCAAGGACTTTCATGGTTGTGTTTGGGGCTTCTAAAGCAAAGCAAGAAGGAAGAAAGGAAGGAAAATAAGGGGAAAAAAAGGAGGACTTACTACAAAGTCATATATATATATATATATATATATATATATATATATATATATAATTTTTTTTTTTTTGAGATGGAGTCTCTCTCTGTCACCCAGGCTGGAGTGCAGTGGCGCAATCTCAGCTCACTGCAAGCTCCACCTCCCAGGTTCACGCCATTCTCCTGCCTCAGCCTCCCGAGTAGCTGGGACTACAGGTGCCCGCCACCGCGCCTGGCTAATTTTTTTTTTTTAGTAGAGACGGGGTTTCACCGTGGTCTCGATCTCTTGACCTCACGATCCATCTGCCTCGGCCTCCCAAAGTGCTGGGATTACAGGCGTGAGCCACCGCACCCGGCCATATATATTTTTAAATAAATATATTAACAGTAACCTGTATTATATATCATATATAATAATATAGAATTAAAATACAAAGATAAAACTTATATATATACATATAATTTTTTAAAATTGAGAAATAGCAGCAACCAGTGGTCCTCAAACTTGAGCGTGCATCAGAATCATCTGGTGGACTTAAAACAGGTTGTCGGCCCAACATCTGGAATTTGTGAATCAGAATCTAGGGTGGGGCTGGAGAATGTGCATTTCACACAAGTTCCCAGGCGATGCTGATGCTGGGTTTGGTGGCACTTGGAGAACGCTCGGCAAAGGTCATATTTGTTGACAGACACCGAGGAGACATTTGCATGGCCTAAGAATGAAAATGGATATCCAGAATTTACAATCCTGAAAATGACTGAAAGATATTCTATATAATTTACAGACAGAGGAGGCCAAAGGGCTGACAGGAAGTCAAACCAGAACAATAGCTTGCTTGCCACTTTGTGCCTATCCACATGGAGACAGTCAAAGTGGGCTTCCAGCAAGAGGCCACGCTGTGTGGGGGCAGCTCAGGCACTGCCGAGGTAGGAAGTGGAAGAAGCTGTTCTGGAGAGGGACCTGCTGGCTGTCCCAAATAAAATCAAGCATCATCTTCCCATGACTCAGAAAAATGTTCACACAAGCCCTAAAAGGTGGTGTGGGGATTTTCCCCGGGGCTCTCCGTGGAGTATTTATAGCAGGGAATCGAAGGCAGCCAACATCAGCAGGCAGGGGGGATGATGTCCTTGAGAGCAGTTGGAACCACAAACAGAATGTACATACAGCACAGTGCATCGATCTGAAATATCGTGCCTGCCGATAAAGAGCAAAGCAACAGTTTTTATAGCACGTCATTTATGTAATTTAAAAACATATGCATGCAAAGCTCATTTCACAAGGTTGCATGCATGCATATTTGGGGACTTAATAGCAAATCTACTAGAGTGCTGGCCCAGAACAAGGGCTGGGGAGGACAAAAGGTGCTGGTATGAGGGTTAGAGGGCAAAACGAAAAAAAAAGGTAGAAAAATACCAAATAGAGCAGCCCTGCATCTGCTCTGTGTTAAGGATAGTGAACTTACATCTGAGACGCTTCTAAAAACAAAGTCCACAGCTGGCTGGGCTCCACCAGACATGTTTCTGATTGGTGGGTGGGTCTGGAGGGCTGCTTAGCACTCAAAGAGGCAGTGGCAGGCCCTGCAGGGTGACAGGGAGGAGAAGCGGGGGCAGCCAGGGTCCAGCTGAGAATCCTCAGTGGGGAAGGGGCAGGGGGCAGAGCTCTGAGCTGCAGCGGGCAAAGGCGCCCAGATACTGCACCTGGAGGTCCATTCTGAGGGAGGGGCTTTGCACTTCTTCAAGTAGGGAGCTCCTCTGGATGCTCCTCCACCAACTGCAGCCCTGGCTGGAGTCTGGCATCCCACCTGGGGACAGTGGCTGGAGGTAGCCTTGCCCACAATGGGAGGAGCTGAAAAGTAGATGAGTGGGAATCTTGCAGTGGGGGTGTTGGGGGTAGTTGGTGGGGGAGGAAATAGGCTGGAAGCCAAGACAGCCAGGTACTGACTTCCCATGAAGGGGTCAAAGCTGGAGGCCCCTTCGATACAGCCACACCGAAGGCACCAAAGCAGCTGGAGTGGGATACCCCATCCAGAGATACCCGCCATAGAGCACCCATGGGTAAGCCCACGGGACTAGGTAAGCTTGTCAGGGGAACCCATGCAGGAGTGGACGACACAGCTGTCTGCAAGCCCGGCCAGGTGGCCGGGTCAGTTAGAAATTTGTTTCCCACACAGGCACAGAGGCCCCCGGCAGAGCCCACATCCACCCTGGAGGCCGAGGCAGCTGTGAGTATGTGGATTTCCTCCCAGGGCTGGGAAGCATGGGAGAGGTTTTTCTGCATGGCTAGTTCCCAGGAGGTGGCTGTCCCCATTGTTGAAGGGATCTTCTCTCCCCAAGCCTGGTGACACATGTTGGGCTTGCTCTCCTGGCTCCCCGACTGTGGAGCAGACAGTGGTTAGAAGAGAAAAAAAAGAGGTTCAGGAAGGGGTGAGGCCACCCCAGAGTGTCCAGGAGGGTCAAGACACCACCCTCTGTAGCTCATGGTGATAGAGAGGGCTGGGGGGCATGCAGTCTTTTTTTGAAGCAATGTCTTGGGTCAAATTAAGAGTCATTCCTTCCCATCCCCATGAGTCCCCAGTCCCCACCCCAATGTGGTGCACAAGCACCCCAGAGGACTGATGGCAAAGCTGTGTGGGGGGCTGAGGTGGTGTTAGGAAGAAAAGGAAGCAAAATCCCAAAACAGCTGTATCTCCTTGCTGGAGCCACAAACAAAGAAAACTGGTGGCAAGGGGCTCCTCTTGGAGAGTGAGAAGGAACCCCCATGGAGGGAGACTCGACCTACCTCCCGGGCAGGGTGGCCCCCACGAGACCTGCCTCAGAGCATCAGTGAGTGGGCAGGTCTGTTTCGGAAGTGCACTCTGGTTGCAGTGGGGTGAGGGTAGAGACCAGCAAAGTCAGGGGCTGGACAGGAGTCAGGGGAGAGGTGATGGTACTTAGAACCCAGGGAAGCAGTGGGAGGGAGGGGAGCAGGTAGGCTTTGGGAACATTTAGAGCATCCTTCCTGACCAGATGTTGGAAGTGAAGAGAAGAAACAGCTCAGAACAGTGCCAGGTGCGACGGACACATGAATGTACCAGGGCACTAGCAAGGCATGGGTTTGGGGGAAGACAGTCTGGGTGAAACCGGCCACATCTGAGTCTGTGTCCCTCAACACCTCCTGAGGCAGCTGATCGCATTAGAGGCCCGGATCCTTCCCCTCGATGTAAGCTGCCCCCATGTCACGTGACCCACTCAGGCTCTGGGTGAAGGGGGTGTTAGTAATGAGTGCCTCTGCGACTGCCATGAGAACATGCCAGGTCAGCTTGCCAGAGTAGGAGAAACATATGCACAGAGCTGAGGCACCCCAGGCCTCCAGGGGCAGCCCACAGCACTCGACCTGCCGATGTGAGCGAGCCCAGGACGGGTGGGCTCAGTCTCCTAAGCCTCGAAGTGCTGGGCAACTTCTCCGGGTGATTCTAATCTTGCTACTGCTGAGGCGCACTAGCCCAAAATGGCCTGCAGCTGCCTGCTGACACCTGCCTGACCCCAGCTGAGAGCCAGACCACACTTACGACTGGTCCTGGTCAGAAGCCGCAGGTATGTGGGCTGATAGGCGTTTACTGTATGCTCTGAGGGTGTTTTGTTGTTGTTATGCAGTGTGATTTTGCAGTAGATGACTGATACACTTTCCAAAATGCCTGCTTCCTAAGAGTAGACAGAGTCTAAGGCTAAAGGAAGAAAAAGTCTGAAGGAATAAAGAAATGGGGTGCTCCGGCCTGTCCCCTTCCTTCCTTCCAGGACACGTTCTGAGGGGTAGGCCAGAAGGACAGGCTTGAGGGGAGAGAGGAGCTGGGCTCATTTCTGCCCCCTTGCTGACCAGAGCAGTGACTGTGAAGACAGATGTGGGAGGGGTGCAGACGGCCATCCCCTCACCCCAGGGGAAGAAGCAGTCAGCTGCCCTCCCAAGTAGCTGAGGGGGCCCTGAGGTGCAGTGACTGGCATGAGGTTAGCGTGTGGACAGGATCCAGGTGTAAATGCAGGTATTCGGATGCTTCCCTGGATGCCAGAAGCCACAGAGACTGGAGAGGGAGAGCAGGGGGTGCAGCCCCACCATAGCAGATGAACCCACATAATGCTTTCCATTGGTGAGCCTCACACCCACTTTCACACAGATGCAACCTTCTGTTCGAGGTGCAAACCATCACTGCACAGAGGATGGGGAACCTCTGAATACAATCAGATTTCCTCAGAAAAATTTCCCCAACAAACAAAATGGGGGCAGTTAGAAATTATGTTCAGTTATGAGGAAAAAAGACAAAAAGCTATTGGTATTGAATAGTAAGACGATGAGCAACTCCACTGAGAAATGACCAAATGATGGCAATAAGAAAGCCACATTAGCTGGGTGGGGAGATGAGACATCAATAAACACGAGAAAAGCTGTTCAAACTTATTCAAATTAAAAGACTGGGCTGAACTTCTAGGTAAAGATGGCAGGCGACAGGTATGTACTCATGATGGCCCCTCCCCAGCCCCACCATAACAGTAAGGGAAATTTAACAAGCCATTAGCCCACAAGAACAGCTATAATGTGAGAGAAAACAGGAAGGAGATTTGGGTGGCAAGAAAGCAGATGGCCGTGCAGGAAGTGACTGAGCAGAAGGAGGACGCTGAGGAACGGAAGCCTCAGCCAGCAGCAGGGATGTGGAGAAGCCACTCGCTCTCCACTGCAGAGCCACTCAGGAGATGTAGAATTCCTGGATCAGGCAGTGGGATTGGAGATGACGTGAAGTGGGATGAAGATGAGACTAAAAGCGGAAGACCAATTAGACTTTCAAGGACTATCTGACAAGTCGCCAGCTGGGAGACACACCTCCCCCAAACATGGCCACGTGCCCTCCCCTTCCTTCTTCCAGCAGAAGAGACTCAAATTTTCTCTGGACTGAAAACTGAGGCAGGGGTGGGAGAAGATCTTTGCGTTCTGCTGAGACCCCAGCTCTCTTCCTCTCAGCTCCCAGCATGCCAGCCCAATTCCCTTCAGGTGGGAAAATAAAAGAGCCTTCTTAGGAAAATTTGAACCAAGATTTAAAAGTAATCCCAGCACTTTGGGAGGCCAAGGCGGGCAGGATCGCTTGAGCCCAGGAGTTTGAGACCAGATTGGGTAACATGGTGACACCCCGTCTCTACAAAAAATACAAAAATTATCTGGGCATGGTGGTGCACACCTGTAGTCTCAGCTACTAGGGAGGCTGAAGCAGGAGAATTGCTTGAGCCCAGGAGGGCGAGGCTGCAGTGAGTTATGATCACACCACTGCACTCCAGCCTGGGTGACAGAGTAAGACACTGTCTCAGTTAATCAGTCAATGGAAAGATCTAAAGGTAGTAACTTTGGCATTTCCCCAAACGCAAGACCCAGCCAAATCTTGCAGCCACACTCACAGGTTCAGGACTCTCAACCAGCCCTTCAGTGCCTCACTTATGCACATGAGCCAAAAACTGTGCATTTCTGTACTTCTGCAGAAAGCCTGCAGCATGCAAGTTAGAGACCAGCACAAAACTGGACCAAATATAGAGCCATTATTAGATCAGATAGCTCTGCTATCTCAAAGACAGGGAACAAAATAAAACTAAAAAATAAAACTTGGAGGACAAATAACATATAGAGAGGAAAAACTCTCAAAGCTAATTAATATCCTCAGAAAGGTAAGACTATATCCTTAAAATAAAAACAGAATACCATGGGGAAAAGGCACTTTGAACAATAGAATAGCTGAAATGAAACACACAAGGATTGGAAAATGAAGCTGAGGAAATACCCCCAGAAAGTAGAACAAAATTACAAAAGTGAAAAGTGGAAGAAAAATAAGTAAAGGGTCACTAGATGTCTAACATCTGAAAAACAGGGGTTACAGAAATAAAACTGAAAATGGAGCGAGTTAATCAAAGACATGATTCAAGAAAAGTTCCCAGACCTGAAGGATGTTTCTAGAGTGAATGGAGCCCACCCAGGGTGTAGTAGATATATGAAAATAGACCCACATAATGAATACTATTGTGAAATATGAGAATAGTAGGTACAAAGAAAATCTTACATTCCTCAAATAAAACAAATCAAAGGTATCAGAATTGGAATGATTTTGAACTTCGACATCTGTCCTAGAAGCTGAAAGAAAATGGAATAGTGCCTTCAAAATTCTAAAGGAAAGTTATTTTCCAACTTAGAATTCTGAACCCAGGAAAATTATAAATTAAGGGTGAGGCTAGAATCAATATATTTTAAAATAGGCAGGATCACAAGTTTATCTCTTATGTACCCTTCCTTTCTGGGAAAACTACTATAGGATATACAGCATCAAAATGAGGGGGTAAACCCAGAAAAAGGAAGACAAGGGACTCAATGCAGGAGGGAGGTAAGGGGTCCCGGTGACAGCTGTGAGCCAGGCTGGTCTGGGATGGAGCAGGTCAGAAGGTTCCTAGTGAGAGTGCTTCAGGAGGATGGAATTGGTGGAATCCCTGGTGTGTCCAAGCATATTGAGGTGGTGTAAAGGAGCTAAACTCTAAAATGAGCTAAATTCTATAATGCCTAGGACTAAAAGCTGTGTGCTAGCATGTTATCTGCAGATATGGAAGTAGATACCCAAATAATTAGCTGAAAAGAGTTGGGAGGGTGGTGGGAGGCAGCTCCTTTTCATATCAGTTCTGTGATACTACTTGATTCTACATTGCATGTATGAAATTGACACCAATGAGAACCAAACAAAAAGAAAGGACTCTCAGTTTTCACTAAGGTTGGCCAAGATGGAAAAGGTTGATAGTACTGAATGGGAAAACTGGCTGAACTCTTCCTGGTGGGAGCAAAAATTCACGTGATCTCTTCAGAGGTCAATTTGGCAGTAAATGATGAAAACTTAAAAAGGGCAACTCACCCTCAACCCTGCAAGTTGTTTCTCTCCCTCAGTTGTGTATGGTGGATCTGGAACAGGAAGCTGTGGGTGGAAGGGAACCCCCGGAAGGCACTCCTAGGTGAAGGAGGGGCAAATACTTGGGAGCTGGTGTCAGCAGGCAGGATCGGGATGGGTGGAGGACCAGACTGCAAACCAGCTGACCCTTGTCTTCCAGTCTCCTTCCCTGGTAGGGGAGTCTCACTGTGGAAGCCTGAATTATGCTCTCCTGAAACATTGCTCTGGGGGAGACAAGGGGTAGGTGGGGTGGCAGCTGGGAAGGGTGGGGAAGAGGGGTGTGTGTGTGTGTGTGTGTGTGTGTGTGTGTGTGTGTGTGTAACGAGGACTGGGTTTGTTTGTAAGATAGAGAGCAAACAGGAGGGGAGGGAGCATGCGGGGGCTGGGACAGGAAGGTCTGATTAGGGAACCCCAGATGCTGAAGGAGGCAGATGAACAAGGTCAGCTTTGGTCCGGGAGGCAGGATGTCCCATCCAAGAAAAACGGAAGAAGACTAACCCCACTGACAAAAGCTGCTCTCTCTCCTGAGATCTCGAACACACACACCCGACTCTCCCAGCAGGCCCTCTAGTGCTGAAGTGCTCCTGAGGGCAGCCTGCAGTCTTCAGTGTCCCGGCAGCGCCGCGGTCCAAGGTCAGCCAGGCGCTGTGCCCCAGCCCTGATGAACCAGCCGCCTCCTCCTCCCCCTCCCCCTCCCCCTCCCCCTCCTCCTCCTCCTCCTCCTCCTCCTCGCAGCTCCAGGGCAGGAAGCAGTTCTGAGGCCCCACACTTGGTGCCCTTACGTGAGGGGGTGGAGCCAAACACTGTCATGTGAGGGGGTGGGGCAAGGCCACTGGTGTGGCTCAGGAAGACGAGGGGATCAGGTTCCCTGTCAAAGGTCCACCTCTGTCTTACACGAGAAGCTGATGGGGTCAATCCAGCCGTCTGTTTAATCCCAGCAACAAAGGTACTCACCACACTGTGTTGCCCTCTGGCCAGGAGAGGGGCAGGGCGTGTAATTGACCTACTTGTCTGAAGTCAGGGGACAATGACTCCAGGAGGAGGGTCTGAAGGGAGTGGGAGTCAGCCCTGCCAGGTGGAGGGGGCAGGGACCTCAAGGGCAGACCGCAGCCCAGCTACCAAGGCTCCCGAGGAGGGAGCGGACCCCTCCCAGGAGCCTGCAGGCCACTGTGGCTGCAGCTGGGGCCAGGAGGATACTGGGCTGAGTCAGGTGGTCCCATCCTCCAGCGACCTGGGGGCCCAAGTAACCGCAGCCATGATGAAGGTTTAGTTAAAAGGGCAGGTTTGAGTTTCAGAGCAGCAGAGCTTTGCTGCAGCCTGAGGGCCAGGATGTGGGGAGGGCAGACAGCAGGCTGTGAAGGGTTTCTTGGGTTAGCCATGAGCCCTGGTCAGGAGAGGACCCTGGTAGAGAATGCAGCATGACAGTAGGCACCTGGGTGAAGGGTGTGGAGGTTCTCACTGCTGTGGTGCTGCACGCACCTGACACTTACCAAAGGATGGACAGGCTCTCCTAGGTCCATCTCCACCTAGCTACCTTCAGCTTTTTGATTGTGCTATTCCAGTCCTCATAGCTTTCCCTATTTTTTGTGTACTTGATTTGGAGTTTTCCAAAAGTGTGTGTTAAAAAGTCTCCCATGAAGAGTGTGGATTTGCCATTTTCTTCTATATTTTTGTTGCTTTTTTACTAACACATTTTGAAGCCAATTATTTATATAGCAATTACCAGATGCCAGACACTGTCCTCAGTACTTTCCCAGTATGAACTCATTTAATCAATATGAAATATCCTAACAATAGGAGGCTAGTTTAGAAAATTACACAGTGAGGACTTTGAGAAAAATGTAATAAAAGTTTATTGATTAACAAGGAAAATCATCCATGATATATTATGAAATGAAAAACGCAAGTTACCATGCAGTTTATACAAGCTCATTGCTTTTTTTGTGATGGAAAGAAATGTTATCTATGCATAAGAAAAAGGTCTGGAAGTGTGCATACCAAAATAATGACATAGATTATCTTTGGGAGATAGAATCATGTGCTATCATATTTTTTTGTTTATACTTATATGCATTTTCTGGTTTTGATAATGAGGATCTATTAGTTGATAATTTAAAAAAATCATTTGGTAAGGACCCTAATTTTCAAAACAAGAAGTTGAGAAATTGCAGATAAATGGACTGAAAATTCTTTGATTAATAATAAGGTGCCCAATATAAAAATGCAAAGATCTGGACACAGAGCTGTGTGAGGCAGAATTAGAATTAGCCATATCTGGGTAAGGACGGATGAGAAATCCAAACCACTAAAGTAGAGATGTTCCGTTAGCCCCAGGAGTTCTCAGACTTTACATTATTTAGCTCAGAGGGCTTGTTACAGCACAGAGGGCTGGGCCCAGCCCCCAAGTATCTGATTCTCTAGGTCTGTGGTGAGGCTGAGAGCTTGCATTTCTAGTAAGTTCCCTGGTGATGCCAAGGTTGCTTGTTTGAGAAGCAACCACACTTTGAGAGCCCCAGCCACAACTGGAAGTTAACGTGGCATTGGTTTATATGGTGTGGCTAGTACATACTCATTATTTGAATGTTGGAAAAAAACCATAAAACCATTTGGGCCCAGAGCTTTTTTAGATATGACTTAGCTTTGCTCATGTTTGTGGTCTTCTCAAAGGCCTTCACTTCTTGAATTGATTTTGGTTAATTTATTTACAATATTCCATTTCTCCAAGATTTGCAAATCTGTTAGCATTGAACTATACATAGTCCACTCATATAAATATTTATACTTTTTTCTGCTGCACTAGTCTGAGTTCACAGCTCTCCAGTTCCCTCCCCAGGACAGCTGTGACCCACAGCCCTTCCAGGTAAAGTGGCCTTGGAGGACAGTGACCATGTCACCCCTCAGTCTACTGTACTGAGGGCATGGTTTGCATGTTCTGTGACCCAGTGAGAGTCCTATTCAGGCTCTGAGCAGTGTGGACATTTGCCCTGGGAAGTCCCTCTCAGGAAGACTCGGGGTTTATGTGTAGGATGCTGCCCTGGCCATTTTCATAAGCACAAGTTCCTTTCACAGCTTTCCCTGCTCCCACTTACCAATCTCCAGCTCACTCACCAAATTCCCTCAACAGGGAATAGAGGATCCCTATATGCCAGGCCGTTGGTGCTGGGGACACCATGGTGAACCAGATAGGCATGGTCAGTGCCTAGAGGGACCTGAGTCTAGTGAGGGAAGAACAGACATTAGTATAACACACAAAGAATATTTAATTGCATGTTATGCTGAGGGCTATGGAGGAGAAAGAGGGTGCTCAAAGGAAGCGTTACAGGGAAGCCTATTGGTCTGTGCAGCATAGAAGGCTTTCTCAAAGAGGGGGCCTGTGACTTTAGCCTTGAAGATTGGGTAGGAGTTAACCAGGTTGAGACGAAGGGAACTGGAAAGTACATTCTAGGCAGAGATAGCAGGTTTTACAGAGCCAGGAGGAGCACCATATGACTCGGAGACTGGAAGGACCCCGGGGGCTGGAGCAGAGAGGACAAGTCCGTGTATTACAGGCTACAGAGCTGGGCAGAGCCAGGTTATACTGGGCCTTAGAAGTATGGGCCCACTGGGCATGATGACTTATGCCTGTAATCCCAGCTCTTTGGAAGGATGAGGTGGGCGGATCCCCTGAGGTCAGGAGTTCGAGATCAGCCTGTCTAACATGGCACAAACCCATCTCTACTAAAAATACAAAAATTAGCCAGGGGTGTTGGTGCATGCTTGTAATCCCAGCTGCTCGGGAGGCTGACACATGAGAATCACTTGAACCAGGGAGGCAGAGGTTGCAGTGAGCCAAGATCATGCCACTGCACTCCAGCCTGGGTGACAGAGACTCCATCTCAAAAAAAAAAAAAGGAAGTATGGGCCCTGTCCTACAATTTTGGGGAAGCTATTGAAGGATATAAGTAGGTAAGTAGCAATTAGCTTTAAATTTAAAAATCTTTCTCTAAAATTTTTCTTATAGGAAGATTGTGGTCCATAATAAATATGGAAGAAGTGAAAAAATTTTTGCAAATCACCATTTTCCAAATTCTGATGAAGTGATTGATTCAGACAATGATCATCAATGATTGAAACTGTTAGCTAAAAGGCAAACAGAGATTTATGATGGAGGAATCGGGCTGTCATCACTGAGCCCACCATCCCCATCTTAGTAGGATGGCTGGACAATGCACACCTCCTGGTAGGTGTGATATGAAGCACACAATAACACCAATGGAAGACTCTTGCCAAGAAAGTCAAACTTGAATTTAATCCAAACTCTACAGCAGCAGTGTCCAATAGAACTCCTATGATTCTGAAATGTTTGTATCCATATTGTGTAGTAAGGCAGCCCAAGCCATGTGTGACTACTGAGCACTTTAATGGAGGCTAGTACAACTGGATTTTATTAAAATTAAAACTGAATTTTACATTTCATTTTATTTTAATTAATTTAAATAGCTCTTTTTGGCTAGTGGCTACAGTATTGGACAGTGTGGTCCTAGAGCTAACTTTCATTTGCAGGAAATCCAGGGGATAGAAGAACAAGCTAGAGGACACCATAAGGAAGCAAGGAGATGAGGCAGCATGTGGGACACTGAGCAGGTTTCTGCACTATGTCATTGCATTAAAAACAAAGTGAGGAGAGACTTTTCTGGACAAGAGACATAACAACTACATATTATGTGTGGGCCTTGTTCAGAACTAGATTCAAATGAATTATGTAAGACAGTTTGGAGACAATATGGGAAACTTAGCTATGGATGCTCAGATTCTATCAAGGAATTATTGTGCATTTTTTTAGGAGGGAGAACTTACTGTGGTTATGCAGATTCCAGTTAGAAGGCTTCAAATCCTAGCAGGAGGTAGATCAGAGTAGGATCAGCGAGTTCAAGGGAAATGGATTGTTCCATGATGTGTTTTGTGAGGAGGAGTGGCCAGGCTTTTTGAGTGAGTGTAAGGGGAAAACAGATAAGATGTCAAGGATGGCCCCCAACTTCTGGCTTGCACAGATCATGAGTGGGAGGTCAGGAAACTTGGAGCAGAACAGGTGTGAGGGAACCACCTGGACACTGGCTTTGGTTGTATTTGAAGTGCCTGTGAAATCTTGAGAGCTATCAAGTGGCCCATTGCCTACAGGGTCTGGGCAGCCGGCTGAGCCCCAGCATCACCAGTGGGGGCATTCGGTGGATATGGAGGCTGGTCCTGTGGGCAGAGACCCCAGATCTATCCCACATCTGTCCCAGCTTTCCTCTCAACACTAGGGCAACTTTGTTTTCAGCAGAAAGCCCTTAATATTGACACTTTTAATGAGACAGAGTTGCTTTTTAACTGTCTCCTCTTGGATGACCATTCTATCAACCTCGTGGGTTGCCCCTCCCTGCTTCTCTCCCCTTGGCCAGGAGAGGTGTAAGTTGCCCTGGGATGCCTGCAGCTTCTCCTGAGGGTGATTGCATCAGCTGGCTCTGGGCACTGCAGCCTGGCACCTGCAGATCTGGGGCGGGCCTTCAGTCTCTTGGCTTTGGGGAGCTGGTATCTACTGCTCGTGTCCCTAGTCACTGCTGTGGCTGTGGTGAAGAGGGCATCTCAGCCTGATGCTGGCTGCTTCTGGCCCACTTATCTACGCAGTCTTTCCTCACCTGCTCTGGACTCAGGGGGTTCTGGCTGTTTTGCCAAAGGTGTGTGGGACTCTGTGATCCACCCTCAGGCCCAACACCCAGAGTTTCAGATGCCTCTCTGAGCAGGGCATGGGTTCTGGCACCAGATGGAACACAGGGTTTTTCTAAGAGGCATGCAGGCTTCCAGGTGCTTTCTCAACCTGCCCAGTGTTTGCAACATCTTGCTGCTGCCAGGACTGGTGAAGGTGGAAGAACTGAGGGGACACTGGTCCCCCTTCTGGGACCCAGTCATCCTCCACACCATCCTCCTGCTGACCTCCCTGTGCGGCAGAAACTCCCTCCTCAATCTCATCCTGCATTTCCCCAGTGATGCAGTTTATGAGGAAAGATCTCTCTGTTCAGTACTGTACACTTAACTCACTACTGTCCTTTTTTTTTTTTTTTGTCTTTTTAGTTTTAACATAATTATAGATTCACAGGAAGTCGGAAAGATGGTAGAGAGGCTGTGTGCCCTTCCCAGCTTCCCCTAGTGGTTGCATCCTACAAAGCAATGGCACGATGCCTGAACCAGGATGCTGGTGCTGGCATGATGAGGGATGGTCTGGAGTTAAGGGTGGTTGTCATCGTAAGTGAGTGCAGGGGCTGTCTGTGAAGAGGGAGCAGTTCTACATCTTGTTTAGAGTGGAGGTTCCATGAATCACCCCATGATGAGAGGCATGGAACTCAGCTCACTCCAGAGACCAGTTATTTGTTCCCCATCTCTATAGTTTCTGTCTCGCTGCATATTAAAAAACAGTTTTGGACATACTTAGGAAGCAGTTTTCTCTCTCAAATGCTGGATCTCCTGAGGCTCTCAGGCCTGCAATCATGCTCATCCTGTATGTATATAGGTGCCGGCCCTGCCCTCCCTACAGGGGCAAGGGAAGCCTGGGCATTCGAGGATGAGGATGTGGGACCCCAGCCTGCACAATGGAAATCCTTTCTGCAGTGTTTCGGAGCACTTGCCCAGACCTGGAATCTGAGCCCTGGACTTGCATCTCCTGACTGGAACCTGGCTTCCTTTACTCCTGTGAGGGTGCAGGAGTGCCTCACTCCCTCATAAGCCCTTCCCAGGCTTGTGCTGGGCTGTAGCCTGAGCCCCCTGAAGGAAGACTTTCTCGCCCAGGCCCCTCAGGGCTCCGCAAAGTGGACCCTGTTTCAGGGCAGGGCATGATAAATGTAGATTTCAAAGTTGAAGATAGCTCTTCCACCTGTTTTCACAAAATCTCATTTCTATAAATCTCATTTGAATTTCTGTCACCTGCAGAAGTGGACACCATTAGCCCACCTACATTTCAGGACCATGGAAAGCACCAAAACGCAGCTGCCAGCTTGGCTCTAGTGACAGGGCACAGACAGCCGTTGCTGGGCAGGGAGGGGCCTGTGGCAGTGATGGAAACATTCTACCCCTCAGTCATGGTGCTGGCTATGTGGCTGAGTTTATTTGTCAAAACTCAAACTTTACACCTAAAATAGATGAATTTCACTGTATATAAATTACATCACAAGCTGATGAAAAAAAAAAATAGCCAGTTTGGGAGGGACTAAGGAGGGCATCCCAGGTGTGGCCATGAGGAGAGGGAGGAGAGCAGCCTGGCAGGCAGGCAGGCAGAGTGTGGGCAGGGCAGGGTTTGGGGAAACAGGCCTAGTACGTTTCAGTGACTTCACTTTCTTCTCAGGGGGGCACCTACAGAGCTGCTTGGCCCCAGGTAAACCCTGGCATTCTCCGTCTACCAACCAATCTTCTCTCAAACTCCAGCAGCAGCCACACCTCCTAGAAGGCCTGCATGTGTGCACTTGTGTTTGCGTGTTCAGTGTTGTGTGTGAGGGGAGGGCCGGGGCTTGGGGTTTAGGCTGAGGTTATGGAGCAGCAAGCAGGGCTCTGAGCTGGAGGAGAGAGGTCCATAGGCCAGTAGTGGAAAATGCAGACATTCTAATGGAAGGGAAGGAACAGAGCTTCCTCCAGGGATGAAATGAACTGGAGACATCCCTCAATAAAGCCCAATAAAGGTGTAGGTGAGGTCAGCAAGCAAATGTAAAGTAATAGGGAGAGGGTGACAGGCAAGCCACAGAGTGCAGTGCACAGACTGACAAGGGACTGCGATCCAGAATGTATTCCAAGGCCTTCATATCAATAATAACACAAAAAAGACAGCCGAGCGCTGTGGCTCACGCCTGTAATCCCAGCACTTTGGGAGGCTGAGGCAGGTGGATCATGAGGTCAGGAGTTCAAGACCAGCCTGGCCAAGATGGTGAAACCCCATCTCTACTAAAAATACAAACAATTAGCTGGGTGTGGTGGCACACGCCTATAATCCCTGCTACTCAGGAGGCTGAGGCAGAGAATTGCTTAAACCTGTGGGGGTGGAGGTTGCAGTGAGCTGAGATCGCGTCACTGCATTCCAGCCTGGGTGACAGAGTGAGACTCCGTCTCAAAAAAAAAAAAAAAAAAAAAAAAAAAAAGACAAAGAGCCCAGGGGAAAAGCACATTTGAATAGACACCTCACAAGGAGGGTATGCAAATACCAATAAACTTATGAAAAGGTGCCCTGCCTCATTGTAACTGCAGAAGTGCACATTGAAACCACAGTGAAATGCTGCTGCATGGCTGAAATGAAAAGTCTGATAATACCAAGAGTTGACACTGGTGTAGAACAACAAGAAGGCCCCTACACAGTAGGAGTGCAGATAGGCACAACACTTGCAAGCAGGCTGAGCATTAGTCACAAAGTAGACCTGTGCATAGATCCAGCAGTTTCCTTCCTGGCTCTATGCCTAATGGTTCTGTACTTATGTGACTACATACCTTAAAGCCACCAGGCCCAGCACTCTAATAGAAAAGCAGGCACCCTGATCCTGCCAGCTGCCCTGAAGGAGTAGGTAAGCACCTAATAATTTTTAAAAGAGTGAGACATTATTTTTCAATTAAATTGTCAAATACTAAAAATAGAGAAAATCCACTGTGTTAGGGAAAGAGTAGTCATCCTCTGTTAGTGCCATTAATTGGTACATCCTTTGGGAGGACCACTGGACACTGGGGATCAGGGGTCTGCATGCACCAGCAATTCCACTTAATGACCAAGACACAGCCATAGGAGGAAAAGCAAGTTCCTTGTACAGGTGACTTTGGGCCTTCTTGTTCTGTTCTGAAGGCCTGTTTTATGTTATCCATGGATTTTCACTCTCCTCGCATACAGCTGGGAACCAGCTGGGTGCATTCTAGGAAGAACCCTTATGTGACATGGATTGGCATGGCACCGAACGCCTGACTTACTCTGGAGGGCGATGGCATATTTCATGACACCCCTCAGACACGACACGCTTCAGCCCTGCCTTTGTTCAAGTCTTCTGTGTTGACCCCATCTTAGTCCATTTGGGCTGCTATAACAAAATACCTTAGACGGGGTGACTATAAACAGCAGAAATTTATTTCTCACAGTTCTGGAAGCTAGGAAGTCCAAGATCAAGCAGCCAGCAGTTATGGTGTCAGGCAAAGGCATTCTGCTTCATAGAAGGTGCCTTCTTGCTGTCCTCACATGGTGGTAAAAGGGGCCAGGCAGCTCTCTCAAGTCGCTTTTATAAGGGTACAAAACACATTCATGATGACTCCATCCTCATGGCCTCATTACCTCTCAAAGGCCCCACTTCCTAAGCCATCACATTGGTGATTAGGTTAAGCATATGAATTTGGCAGGGGTAGCATAAACATTCAGATCATAGCAGTCCCTTAATGCAGGGGTCCCCAACCCCTGGGCCACAGGCTGGTAGTGGTCCATGGCCTGTTAGGAACCGGGCTGCACAACAGGAGGTGAGTGGCAGGGCAGTGAGCATTACCCCCTGAGCTCCGCCTCTTGTCAGATCATTAGATTCTTGGCATTAGATTCTCATAGGAATTTGAACCCTATTGTGAACTGTGCATGGGAGGGATCTAGGTTTCATGCTCCTTATGAGAATCCAATGTCTGATGATCTGAGGTGGAACAGTTTCATTCTGAAACCATCTCCCCTCCCCTCATCTGTGGAAAATTTGTCTTCCACAAAACTGGTCTTTGGTGCCAAAAAGGTTGGGGACCACTGCCTTAATGGGATTTTGTCATCTACTGCCTAAGAAATCACATCTTTGGTTAGGTTTATTTCTAGGTATGTATAAGTTTGGTTGCTATTGCTAATGAGCTTTCAATTTCTAGAAAAAATTCTAATTAGTTATTACTAGTCAATAGAAATATTATTGATTTTTGGATGTTGATCTTATACCTTATTAGTGCTTACCATGTGCAGGGCACCATTCTAAGTTCTTCACATATATAAACTTAATTAACAACCCTTTGGGGTATGTACTAATGATATCTCTAATCTGCACTGTGAAAAAGAGGACACAGAAGGGTTGCCTCCTTGTAGAATCTGTTAGATTTTCTAGATATGTGACTATATTGCCTATAAAGAATGACAATTATTTCTCTCCCTTTCCAAAGCCTGTGCTTATTCTTTTTTCTTGTTAACTTGCATCCACTCAAGCCAATACTGAGTAGTGCCAGCAGGAGTACATACCCTTGCCCGCCTCCTCCCTCCAGTGGGCATTGTGTTCATGTTCCCAGAGTTCGATGTTTGAGGCAGATTTCAGGTAGAAGTTCTACTGAATGGAAGAAGATAACATCTATACATGGTTCACCAAGAATCCTTACTGTGAATGAGTTTTGGAACTCACCAAATGTTTTTTCCAGCATTGATTGAGATGAATATGTGGCTTTTCTCTAGTCTATTAATGAAGAAAATGACATTATGACTTTTCTCATGTGAAATTATCCTTATGGTCCTGGACTAAACTCTACTTGGCATTTTCTTTAAAGCACTGCTGAACTTGACTTGCTAATATTTTATTTGGGATTATGTCCATCTGTTTATATATAAGATCGGTTGTACTTTCTTTCGGTGTCCTTGTTTGGGTTTTCTAAGAGGTTTGTGCTTATTTTAGAAATGACTCAGCCATAAGGAACAAAAACAAATAACAAAACCTTTCACCAGCGTCTGAGACGAGAAGTGTAGAGGCAGGGGCTGCTGACGTTCTTCCAGGCATCCGCTCAGGCCTGGACCACCCTCTTACATCCATGGTTGCAAGGCGACCAACTCAGTGCCAGGCATTGTGTCTATGGCAAGGGGCTGGGGAGGGGGAGACACCGGATACCCCTCTGCCTTTGGCCAGGAAGGTAAAAGCTTTCCCTGAACCTCCCAGAACATTTCTGCTTGTGTTTCATTGGCCAGAATTGTCATATGGGAACCTCTACCTGCAAAGAAGATGGGCAAAGTGTTTCATTTTTCCAGCCTCTCTTGGTGGAGTTAAAAAGGCATGAAGGGACCAGGAGTGAGAGTGAGGGTGTTCCCAGCAGAACTGGTCACAGCCCGCTTTGCGTGGTGTCCTGTATTTTTTCCACGTTCTGAAACAGTGGCATGAGATGGCTTCGTAGAATGCACCCACAAACTCATCTCATCATGGTGTTATTTTACAGATAGCTCTTTGGTTACACTTTTAGTGTATTTTAAGCTCATTGAGTTCTTCAAATTGTCTACTTTTTCTGGGGGCTGATTTTGATTATTTATGTTTTCCTAGAACGTTGGCTATTTCATTAAGCATTAACAACATAATAATAATAATTGTACATGACATGTTCTTACAATTCTAAAAAATCTCCTTGTTACCTAAAGTTGAATTCCATTTTTCCTGATATGAATTTGTGTGCCCCTCCCTTCCTTTTCTGTCGTTCTCTCTCATTTATGTAGATTGGCCCATTGCCAATTTTGTGAGTCTTTTCGAAAGAATAAGCTTTGGGTTTTCCTGATAAACACTAATGAAATTTAAAAGTACAAAAGCATTTTTTGCTTTTAAGTTTATCAATTTTATCCTTCCTTTTTCACCATTTTTTGCTGCTGCTATTCTTTTTCTAGAGTTCAGGGTTTATGACTTAGTTCATCTATTTTCATTCTTATTAGGAAATATCTCCAAACACTGAAAAGTGATGAGAACAAGATAATGAATACTTACCACTACAATTTGACAAATTTAACAAATTTAGCATTGTGGCACAATTTATTTGAGATTTTTTAAAAAAGATATTACACTTAAGCTCTTTTTGCTCTTCTCCAATCTCTCTCCCCACAGCTCGCCTCTTTTGCTAACTGCCATCAAATTGTATACTTTTATTAAACATACATGTGTCTGTAAACAATGTGTAGAATTGTTTTACATTCATTAAAACTTCACATTATCACACTATAAATCTTGTTTGTTAACTTTTTTTCTACCAGCATTAGATTTTTGAGATATATCAATGCAAATATATTTCACTCATGTTCACTGCTGCATGAAAATGCCACAATTTGTGATTCAGTTTCCTGCTGATGGACATTTACGTTGTTCCCATGTTGTTACTATTATTTTTAACCATTACAAATAGCAAACATCCTTGCATATTTCTCCTCCTACACATACTTCAGAGCTTCTCTCAGCTGGATACTTAGAAGTGGAATTTCTAGGTCATGAGGTATGTGTATCTTCAGGTTTACTGGAAAATACCAAATTGTTCTCCAAAGTGGCTGTGCCAGTTTAAACTCCACCAGCAGGGCACCAGAGTTCCCACTGCTCCACATTCCGCCAACACTTGCTTATTGTCATACTTTATACATTTTGAGGAGGTGATGGGTATGGAATAACATCTTATGATTGTTTTAATATACATTTTCTGTGTTTTAATAGGCTTCATTATGTTTTTATGTGTTTATTTGCCATTTAGATTTCTTCTCCTCTGAATTGCCTGTTTCTAGTCTCTGCTTATTTTTCTGTGCAAATTTTTGTCTTTTTCCTGCTGAGTTGTAGGAGTTCTTCTATCAGCTGGGGGCTAATTCTCCATTGGTTTTGGACATTGCATGTGTCTTCCTCCTTCTGAAGAATGTCTGTTTGCTTTGTCATTGGTGTCTCTTATCGCCTAAAAGCTTCCATTTTAATGTGGTAAAATTAATTAATCTTATCCTTTATGCCTTGTTCAAGAAGTTCTTCCCTACACCAATGTCATAAAGATACTTTCTCATTTGTTTCCTCCAATGTTAAACATGTTTCAAATTTAGGCACTTATTCCATTTGAAATTTATTCTTGTGCATGGTATGATACAGGGGAATGAATTTTTAAATTTCCATCTAAATAACCAATTTCCCAGAACCATTTATGTAAAAGTCTATTGTTTCACCAGCAATTTATTATGGCATCTCTGTGGCATATCAGTGTTCTCATCTAGGATCAGGGCTGTTTTACTCTATTTCACTGGCTTTTTAAAAAATTCCTACTTTGATACCAAACTTTCCATGAACTTTTACTCTTCCATATGAATGTTCAGGTTCATTTTTGTTATATTTTATCCAGCATTTTTTGTTTTTGCAGTTGGAGGCTTATTCATTATATTTTCTTTCTGATTAATGCTGATATTTAGAAAAGCTTTGGATTTTTTCCTACCAACTTAGTAACAGGTCTTAAAAGTATTTTAGAAGTTTTTCAACCTCTTCTCTTGGGTTTTTAGGTAGGAAATAGTGTCACTGCAAATAATTATAATAGCAGCTGATAATTAATGAGTATACATACATCAAGACATCATCTCGATATAATTTTTGTTATTTAAAACATATAAATACATAAATATTTTAAAATAAGTAAATAATTGATTAATGAGAGCTAAGGACATGGTGGGATCTTTATGTATTCCTCACAAGAACTTCAAGCCTACAATTCTCCCTCATCTTACAGATGAGAACACAGAGGCAGAGGGTGAATAAGTGACCTCCCAAGGTCACCAGTTAGTAACATGGTGAGGGTGGCATCAGCCTCCGGGCTTCCCCTGTCTCCCGGGCTTCCACACCACACTGTCTCCCTAAAATAGAGCTGTGCTTCTTACTTTTATGATTTACATCTTTCTTGTATTATTGAACCATATTCTGTCTTGTTAGGCCACCTTACCTCTTATTTCACAGAGAAAATACAAGTCCCCATAAGTCTCTGAAAAAGTTCTTCTTCCCCCTGACACCAACTCTACAATTCTCCTGCACTAACTGGGAATTCAACAACTCAATTCTGATGCTAACTACACAGAGTTAGCCTTGGACTCCACCAATTGAAGGGCCCAGTCCCACATGACTTCTTTCTGCAGATGCCAGCCACAAATGGGGTACCCTTTTCTGCCCAGGCAACTACAAATTTGGAAGTTCCCACAGCCCTCTCCCCTCAGGTTCAAGAATCCACTAGAAACACTCACAGAACTCAGGAAAGTGCTGCACTCACCATTCCTGGCTTGTGATAAAGAGTGCAACTCAGGAAGAGCTGGATGAAAGAAACGCATATAGCAAAGTCTCAGAAGGGGTGTGGGGCTTCCACACCCTTGCTGGGCACACACCTCCCAGCACCTCCTCATGTTCACCAAACTGGAAGCTCTCCAAACCCTGTTGTTTAGGGGGTTTTACGGAGGGAGGCCTTGTTACATAGGCATGATTGATGAAATAATTGATCATCAATGATTGCTGTCAATTTCTAGCCTCTTTCCCCACCCAGGAGGTTGGGGGGTGGGTCTGAAATTCCCAATCCTCTAATCATGGCTTGGTCTTTCTGGTGATCAGCCCTGATCCTGAAGCTATGTAGGGGCTCCCAGCCACCAATCATCTCATTAGCTTACAAAAGCCATTATTTTTATTAATGAAATCCTTCACGAATTTGCATGTCATCTTTGCACAGAAGTCATGCTAATCTTCTCTGTATCATTCCAATTTTAGTATCTGTGCTGCCAAAGCAAGCACGCAAAAGACATTCTTATCACTCAGGAGATTCCAAGCGTTTTAGGAACTCTGTGCCAAGACAAAGACCAGATATTTATTTTTTATTATGCCACAGTCCTTCCACATCCCATTGACAAGTACACTCACTTATGGTTTCACATTCAGTACATTCAGGGCCCTCTCTCCCATTATGACAGGCAAAGTGTTCTTCCATCTGCCTCAAACTATTTTCCCACATATGCTTTACACACTGCAATGGTTAATTTTATATGCCAACTTGACTGGGCCACAGGGTGCCCAGATATATATGGTCAAACATTATTCAGGGTGTTTCCGTGAGGGTGCTTTTAGATGAGATTCACATTTAAATCTGTAGACTAAGTAAAGTGGATTGCCCTCATCCCATCAATTGGAGTCCTGAATAGAGCAAAAGGCAGGCCAAATATGAGAGAATTCTTCCTGTCTGACTGCGTTTGAACTGGAGCATTGGCTTTTTCCTGCCGTTGTACTAGTACTGAAACATCAGCTCTTCCCCAGTCTTGAGCCTGTCTGCATTTAGACTGGAACTACACCACTGGTTCTCCTGGGTCTTTAATTCATCAACTCATCCTGCAGACCTTGGGACTTGTCAGCTTCCATAATCGCATGAGCTAATTCCTTATAATACATCTCTTTCTACACATACACACACACACACAAAATTTGTCCCATTTCTCTGAAGAACGCTGGCTAATTTTTACCTGACCCAGCCACACATGATGGTAGGAAAAAGATATCAAATCACAATATCCCTCAGCTCACCCCTGATTATGACAGGATTGGGCTAAAACAGCTGAATAATTTAATCAATAAGTTTTAGCTATTTGAAATATGTAGAGGTATATACTTCCACCCCCCACTGCCAAATACAAAGAATACACATTTTTTGAACACATATGAAATACTGACAAAGATTTGTGACCATTCACTATGCCACAAAGGAAACTTCAACTTGTTTCACTGAGTCACCATCATAGAGGCTTTATTTGAAAATAATTATGTAATACAATTAGAACTTAATAGTGAAGGAATTCTTCCTTAAATCCCATGTGGCCAGAAATTGAATTCCACATTACTAAATAACCTTTGGTTTAAAAAAGAAATATGAAAAATGTTAAAACTTCATAAATCAACAGTATAAAAATGTTACAGTCAATCAGCATTCAATGGGAAATTTATGATTTTAAACAAAATTACCAGGAACCAAAAACACAGAAAAAATGCACTAAACATTCACATAAAGACATTAGAAAATGGGCAATAAGGCAAACCAAAAGCAAGAAGGTAAAGGGCAGAAATCAGTGAAAGTGAGAACAGTGACACCAGCAACACCCAAGCAGAGTGAAACGGAAGAGGAATTGAGAGAGTGGAAAAGCATATACTCAAGGGACGAAAGAGGGATTTACTTTGGATAGTAGTAAAAGAGCATGATAACTACTTGTAGATAAATTGAAAAGCCTAGATGATGTGGATGAAGTTCTAGGAAAACAGACAATGCAAAAATTGGCACAAAAAGAAACAGGAAATTTGAATAAGCCAATGAATGTTAAATAAATTGGAATCTAATAATTCCCCTTCCAATGAGCCCCCTGTCTAGACAGTTTTGTGGGAGATCTGTAAACAACTCTCAAGGGGTGATTAATTCAGTGTGAAAAAAAGTAAAGATTGCTCAGCTCACGTTAGGAAGCTGGTGTAACCTTGATCCCTAAACTAAACTTAAAAAGGAAAGAAGCTCATATTACTTACAAATGCAAATGCAAAAGCTTAAGTAAAATATTAGCTAACACAATGTAAACATATTAAAATATACATTATAACCAGGTAGGATTTATCTCAAGAATGCAAGGATGGCTCAACATTAGAAAATATGTAAACATTATTTATGATTTATTAAAGAAGAAAATTTGTATGATTATCTCAATAGATACAGAAAAATTATTGATAAAATTCACCTATTCACAGTGATAATAATTACAATGACAACAACAATAATAATAATGACTTCATTACAATCTAGGAATAGAAAAGAACTTCCTTATCTTTTATAAAGGTTATATGTCAGAACACTATAATAATACAGAAACTTTAGACATATCCTCTTAAAGATGGGCCCCAAGGCAGGGATGTGGCTGTCATTGCTAGTGTTTATCACAATGCAAGAGGGCTGGCGAATGCTAGGAGGAAAAAGGCAGATGTAAGAGGGGTGAGGATTATAAAGAGAAGACATAGAACTGTCTTTATGTCTGTGTAAATAAATATATGTCATTTTATTTAAAGAAATTTTATTATATGTCATTTATGTACATTTATGACATTATTTATTTAAGTCTATAAAAAATAAAATCATCAAAATACAAACCTTGACACCTATTAAGAATTCTGGAAGGCTGGTGGATACAAAACTTAATAAAACTCAATAGCATTTTTCCATATCAGTTAGAAAATATAATAAATATAATAAATTAGATATTATAAATATAATAAATTAGATATTAGATAAATTAAATATTAATGACAACAATAAAAATGCATAATGTCTAGGAATTGCCTTAGAAAAGAATACATAAAATTCTAGGGGAAAATTTTAAGTGAGACTTTTTTTAAAGACCTGAAAAACAGAGATATTTAGTGTTCTTCAATGCACATAACTTAATTGTATAAGGAAGTCAAGTGTCCCCAAATTAATAATATAAATAAAGTGCTATCTATAAATAAAATACTATCCACTTTGTAGATGGTGGTAGTAGATGTACAGTTTTATTTTTCTCTATAATCATTACATACAGAGGTAGCTTCTAGAAACATTAAAAACCTTAAAAGTAAAAAATAAAACCACAAGTGAATAAAAAATGACGTGGGAGAATTACGACAGAGAGGTGAGTAAGGACTTCTTAAAACCCAGAAAGTAAAAATCATCAGGCCAAAGGGATGAATTTGTTTACATCAAGGATTTCTGCTCAACAAAGGACACTTGAGACAAACTTAACGGGCAAGTAATGGACTGGAGCAAGATATATTCAATATCTGAAATGGAAAAAGGACTGCTATCTAGTGTAATATACACAGATACAGATATATCCCTGTAAATTACCAAATGGAAGATTACAACTGTATTAGAAAAGCAAACAAAGGATGAAAATAGGCAAAAACAGAAAGAAACTCCAAGTGCTCCCAAACATGAAGAGAATACATGATTTGTTGGAAAATGGAAATTACACAGAAGTGGGTCACTTTAGCCCATCGGAATAACAAAACACTGGGTATGCCAAGTGTTGGCATTGCTTCTTGGCGTGGGTGCTCAGAGGCTGATATGTTTCTGCCACTGTCAACCAAGGAGGGGGGCCTCTACAAATTAAGTGTATGCTCACACCCTAGGCAAGCTCTCCTGCAGCCGGTGGGGGTCACCGTGCAGATGCTGCCCTCAGCACAGCTGTGTGAGGAGCTAAAAGCAGCCAGGGTCCATTTCAGAATGACTGGATCAGAAAACTGGGGAGTGCACGCCATGGAATAGATTATTTACCCATCAGAAGCCATGCAACATGGGAAGATCTTAAAAACAGCACAGAGTGAAAAAAGTAGAAGCAAAATGAGCTCTAGAGCTCATTATTCAGCATGGTCCTCAAACCAGGACCAGCAGCAACTACATTGCCGAAGAGACTCTTAAGGGCTCAGGATCACAAAGCCCACCCAGACCTGCCTATCAGAATCTGCCTTTTAACAAGACTCCAGGTTTCAGCAAAAACATGAGAAGCACTTTTCTGACTAGATGTCACACCTTTCTAGAAAGCCACTGTAATCAGAATACAATGAGTTCAGTTCAGGAATCAGCTAATACCCCAGTGGGTGGGGACCAGAGGACCCATGTTTGGAACTCCCATAAGACAAAGCCCGTGTGCATTCAGCCAAAAAAAAAAAAAAAAAAAAAAGGACGTTGCTGGAAAACTGACTAATTATCAGAACAGGATCTTGGAAGGACACCTCCCACTGCATCCTACAGATGTGCTGGAGGTATTAAGAGTCACCTTTTTTTGCCTGGCCCCAAGACGTTTGTGTCTGCCATCCCTGGTGTATGGAACTCTAGTGCTGAGGAAATGAACTGCTGCACAGAGGCAGGGAGTGGGGCTGAGAAAAGAGGGCAATTTCTCTTTGTTTATCAATGTCTTTCTCTTTTACTGGGGCAATGGATGCATTCATAATTGTGAGTGATCCCATAAGTGGTTGGCCTTCTTTTCTGGATGAGATCTGAGTTCACCATACTTCTCAATCCCAGGCACACCACCCACATGGAGCCTCTCACTTTAATGACTCTTTTTTAGCCTCCTGTAACCGGCTCAAGTCCAGCTGCTCATCACTCAGAAGTCAAAGCATGAGAAGTGAGGTGTGGTAGAAGGAAAGCAGATTTTATTGGTCAAATGTTGGCAGATGTGAGAATGGCTGGGCTTAAGCCTTAAAGGAGCCATCTCATTCTCCTGGGCTGAGAGAGGGGCTTAAGAAGGAAAAGGTGTGAGAAACATGTGAGAGTGGTGAAAAGGGGATCTGCATGTCTCATTTCCATGGTTATCTTGAGTAGTCACCCATCAGGAGATCCAGTTTGCATCATCCTGACTTTGGCATGGTGGTGGTGGGCTCACTATTCCTAACTCCCCTTGACTGAGAGGATTCTACGCTGGGGTCTCGCTGCCTGGTTTGTTTCAAAATTGACCCCTGGAATTTCTAAGCAAGCACATAATTAGGTAAGTGAACACTGTTCACAGAAGTGCCTGGTGGAAAAGGGAGAAACAAAGAGTTTCAAAGTATGTCAAGGCCTAAGGCAAGAAAGAAAGAAAAAAGTTTGAAAATGCATTTGAGACTGAGATACTCAGTTACAATTCCCCACTGTCAAATTCCATTTCATTTCTATGGAAAGTGGGTGACACAGTCGATCTGTCCACTTCCTGCTGCAAAGGGCTGTAGTAGGGGTATCAGAATGGAATTCATTAACCTGGCCTTGGAAATAGTCTCCAGTCCCCAGACTCACAGCAGGAACTTGCTGGAGCATTATGCTGTGAGGACCTAGAAGCTTCTGAGAAAGTCTGTCCTGCATCCCCATGCAAAGTACATAATAGTAATAAAGTCCACAACAGACAAAGAGGACAATGAACGGAATACCAATTGTACTGTACATAAAAGTCTGTCATGCATTAGGAAGTTGACTAAACCATGCTGTTATGGGGTCCTGGGAGAGAACATTGATAGTAGAAATATGGGTGTCCAATGCATGTATAGCTTGGGTTTTAATGAGAATAATCTGGTATATATATATAACATTCAGTCTTATCAGTGCACAAGTGCTTCCTTGGGCTGCAGTCAGGATGCCTAAGGCCACACATTTCTACAGGGCCACTTGTCTAATCTGTGAGCTTTCTTTTGTGAGAAGGGTGATGGCATGATGGGTGTTATTAAAGGCAGTGGTCATATGTTTAGCCAGGGCCTCTATTTGTAATGATATATATTTGGCTGCCGCCTGGGAGGAAAAGATGGCTAGTGGGTAGAACAACTGGGAATGATCATTTTTTATGGCAGTGTCTAGCTATGCTTTCCCAATTGGCAGGGAGAGTCTAGATGGGACAGGATACATCCTGGTGGGTAAGGGTGCCTGCAGGTGCATCTGCCAGTCCAGTTATAAGATAAGTAAGGCCAACCATGAGGGCTTCAGGCCCACAGCCAAACCCAGGAGGAAGGATAGGCTCTGTTACAAAGACTACTCTGATTTTGCCATCCTAGCCACATATTATCAGTCAGTTGAAGAGTTTTGTCACATTGTTGAAGAGATAACCATCTCATATCATGGAGTATGCTGCTGTTGTGTTTTTTGATGCATAGAGCATGCATCAAAAAAATGCTTTACCTGGATTTGCACCACTGTCAACCATCCTATGCCATCATGAGGTCCTGTCCACTCTTTGGCTAGCTATTGGTCTGGCCCTTGGTTTTCTCAGGATTTTAGCAGCATCTTATTTCCTGGAGAGAAAAGATGAAGGGGCTCACCCATGGGATATGAGAACCTGGAAAGAGCAAATTTTTTGGAGATTTCCTGAAAAAACAGTTCTTCCTTTTCTTCCTTGGGGGTGGGTGAGCAGAATTTGCAGCCACAGTGCCTGATCCAGTGAGACCTGCAAGCACAATTGTTGCTTCTCTGGAGAAGTCACTTGAGCATTTACCATACAAAGCACATTTAATCCCAAAGACATTCCAGCATAGAGAGAAAACTCTTAATTCCCAGTCCCCCAGACAACATTCCAAAGGTTGTAAAACAAAAAACAACCTTTTGCCTCTAATCTTCCTGTAGCCCCAGTCATGGCTACAATCATTTTAATACTTTGCTTTGGGGGATGTTAAGGACTGAATAAGTAGCCCCAGTATCAACTAAGAAATAAATTATTTTGCTCCCCATCATCAACTGTACCTGAGGCTCATGTAGTGATATGATGATAGGTTGACTAAACATGCATATTTAAGAGGTTATAGGAGAAGCTATGAATATATATGAAGGTGGTCCTGACCCATGCATATTGAATAAATATGCATGCAATATACGACTCCACTTTAGGTTGGAGACTTAACACTTGCCTGGCATGGTCTTAGGTCTTTTTTATAATTTGGTATCTTATTGCCATAAAGAGTCTATTTTGCCAGTCTTATTCTCTCTGTTTTAATGTTAATGCTAGCAAGTTGTGCCTAAATTCCAAAGTGCTTGTGTGTGTGGGTGGGAAGGTATAGTGAGGTGTGTCTGACTCCTGCTTTCTATGGCCTGCACTAGTTTTTTGGGTATATTTGAGATCTCCTTTGGCCAAGAGGGGAGTCCATTCATCCTGTTGGAGGGCTTAGGATTTTTTGTTTCTATTCCTCCTTTTTTGTCAAGGTATGCCAGAGGCAGCTTGGATAACCCAACTTTTATTTTGTCTTATATTAATGCTGGGGTGGTGTGCTACCTGCCCCAGGTCTGCCATGTCTCCTGGTGGGATCCTTATGGCCAATGGACTTAGAGCCAAAAGACTTACAGCCAATTAAACATTACAGGCCAGAGGAGAATGGAGGTGGGCAAGCACTCATTAACTTTAAAACCTCTCATAAGCAACATAAGAGCCAAAACCCAAAATCTAAAAGGCAAGGTTACAAAATTGACTTATATAAAAATTCTATGCATTGAGATACTGTAATCTTGGATTGTACCAACTAACTATCCAAAACAAAATAATTTTGTTCAACTGTTTGAGCATCTGTGCGCTCATCCTTTATTTGGAGGGTCTGAACTAATTTTTTCCCCCAAAACTTGTTCTTAAAATCTCATGTGATAGTCTCTGGGCCTAGTTTCAAACTCTGGAGGTAAAACAAAACATAAATAATTAGCAATGTTCAAAATTAAAAAGTCATAAGCCCTGCCTACTTCTGAGAATGACAGGAAAGGAAACTCATGGGTAACTAAATGTTTAAATTATTTAGTATCAAGACATACAATAAATTATATTATTCCACACAGAGACAAAATAATTTAATGAATCTTAATGTTTTTGAATACATGTCTCATGAAAGCAGTTTACTTTGATTGTTGCCTTTGCCTAGGTCTAAAGATGAGGCTCTGGTTA
This sequence comes from Homo sapiens, assembly GCF_000001405.40. NCBI lineage: Eukaryota > Metazoa > Chordata > Mammalia > Primates > Hominidae > Homo > Homo sapiens. Next base: position 127,248,718 of record NC_000003.12, read on the forward strand.
ACTTGACTTTGGTGTCTGATACTGGCAGGAGTCAGTGCCTTCTTTGGATGAGATATGTGCACCCAGAAGTCAAAGCCCTATAACTTAACAGCATAAGGATTAGTTAATAGCACCTGATAAGGAGTTTTTCAAGGTGTTGAGGGTGGTAATATTGGAGAACATGACCTGATTGGAAGCTCTAAAAAGACTTTTCAACATTGTGGTGATTAATTTTTAGCTTTGATAAACCCCAGCAAGAAGAAAGAGACTTAACTTAGGATTTGATTTTGAGGACATTTGCCAAAGATGTTAAAAGGCTGAAAACATTTGATCAAAACAGAATAATAATCATTGTAAAATAATAGTTATTCATGTAATCAACGTGATAATTAAAAGACTTTAAAGGCAATACAGAAGATTAAATGGATGTAAAAGCATTAACCCTTTTAAATTTCAGTTTTTTAAGCAATCAAAAACCTAATAAAGACAGCATAGGAATTATCTCAATAAAAGGTAAAATCACGTTTCTTAAGCCAGTTACCAAAAATGCAAAGAAAAACCTTCTGCAGTGTGACTGCTTCTACTTATGGGAGGCCCATTTAGTGCCCTGGAAGTCATACTTGATGAAAAGGGTGCTTGAATTAAATTAGACACAAGAAGAGTGTGTTCAAAGTTATGAATATAGCAGGGGAATATATGACTCTTAGTAACTGCATGAGAAATTTCCTGATTACATGGAAAATTTAGACATATCAAAAAAAGCCAGGTTGGGCACAGTAGCTCACACTTGTAAACCCAGCACTTTGGGAGGCCAAGATGGGTGGATCACCTGAGGTCAGGAGTTGGAGATCAGCCTGGCCAACATGGTGAAACATGGAGTTTACTAAAAATACAAAAATTAGTCAGTCATGGTGACAGGCGCCTACAGTCCCAGCTACTTGGGAGGCTGAGGCAGGAGAATTGTTTGAATCCAGGAGGTGGAGGTTACAGTGAGCCGAGATTGTGCCATTGCACTCCAGCCTGGGAGACAGAGTGAGACTCCATCTCAAAAAAAAAAAAAAAAAAAAAAGAAAGAAAGAAAAAGAAAAAGAAAAGAAAAGAAAAGATTACAGAATCAAGTTTTACTGGGGAAAATATTGTTTTTATAGACCTCTAGGATAAAACATTTCTGCATCAGGCCACAACAGAACTGTAGGGGAAAAATTATAGGAGCTGATGGAAAAAGTTGAAGGAGAGTTATCATCTCAGGCCTTTTCAAAGGGAGAAAAAGATGAAAGCAGCAAGACACAACAAAAGTTGAACTTCTGAGATATGAATCTGAGAAGTTTTTAAAAGAAACAGATTATAGAATTAAAATGCAAAATATATTGTAATTTCATTAAGAGCAAATCAATACCTTTAGAAAACTTTGTTTTAACATAGGGAATCATTCTTTAGAAAAACTATTATAAATAATTCCCTTTAATTATAGCTAATTTAATTACATATGAAATTCCTTTTATAAATTCCCCTTCATGAACCTTATCATGACTTACAATGACCATTTATGACATGTTTGGATTTTCTGACGTGTCCTATACTTCTCTCTTTCCTAAACAATAAGTCATTTTTCTTTAGGGCAAAAATTTACCCTAAGGAAAATAAGTTTCTTTTTTATACAAAATCATTTTCTTTCCATTATAACTTTTCTTACCAAAAATACATCTTCATATCCACAACTTTCTTCACATCTCTCTCCTACTTACCATTTTTTCTACCTTCTTTTATAAATAACTTTTAAATAACCTCCAAATTACATAAAATTATCTTTTCAATAAGAACACAGCTTGTGGAATGATATATTAATTAGAATTTTCGTTCTTTGTAACCTTGCATTTTAGTGAAAACCTAGGAAGCAAGAAATCCTGAACTGTTTGTCAGATGTTAGCATTTTACAGAATAAACAAACCATTCCATAATTTTTGGAACATGTTTTCCCATACTATAATTTTTTTTATTGGAAATGACCCAAACCTTCAATGAGCAGCTATTATTTAATTCAAGTATACAAAAGTCTACTTGCAAGCATTTATCTCATTTACAAATACTCAAATTTTGCATTTTTAACAGTTTAGGTTACTTCTGAAAACTGAGATATTAGACAAAACTAGTCATTATTTCAAGTTATTTTATTGTTAGCCATTTAAAAAGTCTGAATAACAGGTGAACACTTAAGAACCTTAAACACATTTTGCTGATAACTCAAAAGATTCACTGTTTGCCTTGAACCAAGAATCTTAATTAGTCTTATTTATCAAAAAAAAATCGCAAAAACAAAGATCATTCTGTTTCTGGATGGCTTTATAGTCCTATAACCTTTATGTCAAACCATGATACCTTAATATATAGACAGAGACAAATATAAAACCATTTGGTCAATAAACTCACATGAAAATTTATGCTGACAATTCTGAAGACATTTCTATTTTTATCAGTGATTTTAAAACCAGGTGTATTTACTAAAGATTCACATGAACTTGAAAAGCATTTGGAGTTAATTTATGAGTAGTCATTTACTTATAAACCAATTTGGTAGAATGCTAGATACAACATATAACATAATACATGTACCTATATACAAATATATCCAAACACCTATACATATATGCACAAACAAGAATCCAATAGCTGTTACCTGGGAACTCTAGCCATAAGATAACAATACATACTTACCACCTGATAAAAGATAGCTGGGTCCAAATTATCTTTCTGATGAAACTCGAACTTGGTCATATGGCTAAACCTCATTTGCCCTGATCTAAGAAACTGTGAACCAAAATTTGGATAAAGCAGTCTCTACAGCAATTTTGTTCTAAAAACCTTGTTTACCTTTTTATTCATTCAGTTTCAAATGATTTTGTAATGTTTCCATTTTAGCCATAGTGGATAAACTTTATAAGAAAAACAAAATCTCCAAGTAACCTTCAAATAGTAAGCTTCATTTCAGTAGCAGTAGCTTCGTAACAGCACATTGAAAGCAGCCAGCACATTCAAAGCAGGCAGAGAGAAGTAGACAGAGAGCTTTAGAAGACTCTGCTTACCTTTATAGTTCCATGTTAACCATTTGAGCTCTGGATTTTCTTTACTGTCATTTGCCTATCAGTGTAAAATGTGCACAGAAACTGGCCATAATATGTAACCAGCTCAAGTCCCAGATAGTCTAGAAAAGAGTTCACATGCTTTCTCCCCCTACAAAGCTTGACACAGATACAGGAAGTACACTAGAGTCCCAAAGACGATGACAAAATCCAGGGCTGGGATGTTGGAAACTGTTTCTCCCCTAGGGAGGAGAGCAGCAACCCATCTTGCTACTTTCTGACTTAGTCTTGGCTGGTGGGATGGAGACCATGCCAAAGCACCCTCAAAGAGAGGGGTAACAATAAACAGAGACACAAACACAGATGCAGATGCAGACAGGGGACTCCAAACTGCTCCCTGAAGAAGGGAGGCTGGGGAAAAGTCCTGAGATCTTGTCTCAAACCCAGATGGCACCACAGATGACCTGTGTTGGGTCCAGACTTCACAGAGGTCCAAAAGGCACCACAGACTAACCTGTGTTAGGTCTAGATGGCACAGAGGCCAAGATGGCAGCACAGACGACCAATACTGCTGTAGATAGCTGGAGAGCCCAGAGGCCAGAGACAGAGGATTTCCAGGTGCACTCTAGTTGACTTACCCAGTCCTTGAAGTCTGTCGACTTCCCAGATGCTGCTTCCCTTGAGACAGAGGGACAGCAGCTGATGCCAAGAAGAGGAGGGAAGGGAAGATCCTTGAGATAAAGGTGGTTTCAGCAGCTGCTGGGAATTCCCTAAAGTCCCAGTGGCAGGGTCAGCTGGCCACGAGCAGCTGGCATTTGCAAGTAACCCCTGCCCTTTCTGGTAATATAAGTGGGTGAGCCCTGGCACTGCCACAGCCAATTGCTCCACTAGTTGGAAGCCAGATGTACAGGCTGAGCCGCTCAAAACACACAGCTCCTTACATGAGGCACTGAGTTTATAAATGGCTCATGTCCAGCTGTTCACCACCCAGAAGTCAAAGCATGAGAAGTGTGGTGGAAGGAAAGCAGCTTTTACTGGTCAAATGCTAGCAGATGGAAGAATGGCTGGGCTCAAGCCTCAAAAGAACCATCTCTGCCTTCTGGTCAGAGTGAGGGGTTTAAGAAGGAAAAGGTGTGGAGATATGTAGGAGGGTGCAGGGCTGCATGTCTGTTCCTATGGTTATCTTGAGTAATTGCCTATTTGGGGGTCCAGTTTGCATCATCCTGGTGACCTCAGCACCATAGTGGTGGGCTCACTCTTCCTAACCCTACTAAGCAGGAAGATTCTGCACCTGGTCCACTCTGCCTGGTTTGTTTCCAAATTGGCCCCTGGAATTTCTAAGCAAGCACATAATTAGATAAGTGAACATTGTTCATGAAAGTGCCTGGTGGAAAGGGAGGCGTTTCAAAGTGTTTCAAGGCCAAAAGCAAGAAAGGGGAAAAATTTTAAATACTTTTGAGGCTGGGATGCTCAGTTACACTCCTGCCCTCTCCCCAAAGGACATCATTCTATTATGTACAAAGGAATGTCTTTTTGTGCATTCTGCGGGCATGTGTTTTTAGTTTATGTAAACTTTAAAACCATTTTGCTCAGATCTCAAAACAAACAATTGAGTTTCTAAGTGGAATTGTATTAAATGCATTTGTGAGTTTGGGGAGGATTAAGTGTATGATATCAGGCCTTCCCAGCCTGTGTCTTGTGTCTCTCTAGTCTTTCGCCAGGCAGGTGAATTCTCAATGGAAATCTCACAAGTTCCCCATGACCTGGTCTCACGAGTCTGAGCAACAGCCTTTGCAGCGGGACCGGGTGCCCCTCCATCTTCCATACATTTGGTCCATCTTGCCGGTGCCCTTGTCTCCCGACTTGTCCAGGCCAGCCCCAACTCCCGATGATTAAATTCTCTCTCATCTAGCCTTTTCACTGTCCTATCATCCCTGCCCTGGCCCACTCTCCTCAGCCCTGGAGATGTTGTAGAACTGGAAAATTGGTCACTCCTTGGGCTTAAATACCGTCAATGGCTTCCCAGGGCTCTCAGGGCCCAAGTCCTGCTCCTTTCCCCAGCCCATCCCTTCTCAACCCTGCTGGTGCCCACCAGACCTGCCCAGCACAGTCCAGCCTCAGGTTCAAGGGCTCAGCCTCCTTTTTTCCTCAGGGTCTCTGCACAGGCTGTTCCCTGCCCTTCCCTGACCCACTTCCATAACCCAGCTCCCACCCCAGGATCCTATCCCACCCCACCTCTTTGGTGAACTCAGCCCTCCCCACTCCATCTGCACCAGTCACCTGGAAGCAGGAGGCACAAGCCGGGCCCCCTCAGCAGCCCTCGCACAGATCTGCTTTGTTCTCTGAGCACAGAAGAGAGAACACGTTATTACCCAGCTGGAACACACACACCACTGCGTGAGCTCCAGAGCAGCTCCTGGTATGTGGGGGCAGGGGCTGGAGACACTGCTGAAAAGGGGTGAGGACAGGCTGGATCCCAGACACCAGGACCTGCCCCCACGTGGACCTTCCTGGGTTAGGGCTCTTACAGCCCCCTTGGCATCTCCAAGGGGGGAATTCTCAAAGGAACATCGACCCCCTGCTTCTCCTATTCTTTCTGCTTCTTCAGTCACTCAGTCACAGCTGCCCTCCGCTCACTTCCTTCCCTGCAGGCTCTGTGTCCAGGACAATGACAGCCATCCTTTTCCCTCAGCTCCTCTGCACGGTAGACATACAGCCCAGCTGCAGATTCAAGGCAAGCTGGGCTCCTGGGAATCCAAAGCCTCACTGACCCAGCTCAGAGGATGGCAAAGCTCGTCTGACAATAATCATACCGTGACATTGTAGGGAATGACAGTGCTAGCAATGATGATCTTAATTATTATTAATAATATTATCATAATCATTATTAATATTAGTAATAATAGTTTGCTTCTTGTGCCATGCCCTGGTTTTTGTTTTTGTCTTTTCTTAAAAAAAAAATCTTTATTCAAGGTTTTAATTATAAAAGCAGTGCACGCTTATGGACGAAGTAGACAGAAGTATATGAAGTGAAATGGAAACATGTCCCTTCCTGTGGCCTGTACCCAGAAGAGCCCACGCTTCCCCAGCAGGTGGGGCTCTGTCATCCAGGCTTCAGATGAGCTGCATGGAGATGAGGTTACACTCCAAAGGCCCCCACTAGAAGTGGGTGCAGCCGCAGTTTGCAGCGGGTTGGCTGAGTCTCACCAGCACCACAGGCCCAGCTGGAAGGTTTGCTTGTTGCCCTGCCCCTCAGGCATCTCCTGAGCATGCCAGGAACCTCCGTCATATCCAGGCGAGCCCAGGGTTCCCACACAGCCTTTCCCTCGGTACAGTTTACAATTAGCTACGAACTGGGGAGGACACAACCATGGCTTAACTGAATCATGGCCTGGCCCAACTTCATGTTAGAAATGAAGACACTGGGCCGGGCATGGTGGCTCATGCCTGTAATTCCAGCACTTTGGGAGGCTGAGGTGGGTGGATCACGAGGTCAGGAGATTGAGACCATCCTGGCCAACATGGTGAAACCCTGTCTCTACTAAAAATACAAAAATTAGCTGGGTGTGGTGGCACATGGTTGTAATCCCAGCTACTTGGGAGGCTGAGGCAGGAGAATCACTTGAACCCGGGAGGCGGAGGTTGCAGTGAGCCGAGATCACACCACTGCACTCCAACCTGGCAACAGAGCAAGACTCCGTCTCACAAAAAAAAAAAAAAAAAAAAAAAAAAGAAAAGAAAGAAAAAAAAAGAAAAAGAAATGGAGACACTGAATCCTTCCAGAGGGGAGCAGCTGCTGTCCCACCCACCAGGTGACAGAAGTGGCTACCTTGAGAGAGTCAGCTGCTGGGTCCCCATGGCTGGCTGGCTTCTGAGAGCCCCAGGACTGGGCTGAGTTCTCCTGGTGGGATGTGGGAGGAAACAAGGGACCTATGGCTGGAACAGTCCTTCTGCTGGGGCACAGGGCCTCAGGCCCACCTACTGGGGCCCCCTCCACATCAGCTTGGCTTCCCCTAGTGTGTCGACCTCCTTCCTTCTTCTTCGATTCCCGGTGAGAAGGGCTGGACTTCCCCCGGGGAAGGCTGTCCAATCACCTCCCCTGGATCCAGGATTCATAGCAGCTCTTCTGCCTAATCCAAATCCAGTCCTGCTCTTCCCACCCTCTCCCCACCACTAACTCTTTTCTGATGGGACTGAAAATTTCATTTGCCACCTCCTTCCTTACAACAGGGCATCCTCCCTGCCCTGTCTCCTGGGACTCTCTCCTCACAGGCACACCCTGGCAAGACAAGGGCCTCTGAGCCCCTCACCTGGGCATGGATCTGATGGGGCCAGGGGATGTGTGCACCTCAGAGGCACCGCTCTCTCCTTCCCCGTACAGCTCCACAAACCAGCTCGCACTACAAAGCCCCTGCCCCTGGAGTTAATTCAAAAGCCCCCGACCTCAGTAAATTTCCTTTTTCAGTTAATTCATCTTGGAAAAGGAAGCAGAATAGCAGGGCCAAGGGAAATAGACATCTTGAATTTGAGAGCAGTTTCCAAGTGGCTCTCCCTTCCAATTTAGTCCCGCTAGCCACCCATGGGCATGTGCTTTCCCCAGGGCCTGGAGCCCCACCTGCTGAACCCTGGAATCTGCCAATCTGACAAACAAAGATAACATCACCCTCTAACTTTGATTTGAGTTTCTTCAATTATTCTTGAAGTTAACAGCTTTCCATGTGTCTATCGGCCTTTGTGAGTCTTCTCCTGGCTTGGCTCTACATAGTCTATGTTTTTATTTTGCTTTTCTGTTTCCAGTTTTTCTTTTGATGCTTTTTTTTTTTTTTTTGGCATGCAGATGTTTAAACTTTTTTTTTTTTTGTCATCACATCAATTTTTCTTCAGTGGTTCTGCCTTTGGTGACATTGCAAAAAAGCCTTCCCATCATGCACAGTCCTTTTCTTTTTCAAGTTGTTTGTTTCTGAATAGTTTTGCAAAAAGATTCATCCCACTACGTTCCGAATCTGAAGCAGGTTCACATTTCCTAGGCGCTCAGATGTGCAAAGGGTAATTCTGTTCTCTGATTCCTGAACTGAGTCTGTGTGCTCAGCCCTGTTCTGGTGGGTGGGGCGGCTTGTTCCTGTCACATGGCAGTGGGTTTGGCCACCTCGGGGTTTCCACAGTCCACAGCCTATGGAAGATCCAGCCAGCATTCATTCTTCATGCTATCCTCTCCTTCTCCTTCCATCCTCCTGCAGAGCCCTGCCCCGCCTCCTCCCTGGCCACCCTGCCCTTAGGGGGTTTGCCCTTGTTAACAGCCCTGCCCTTTGCCTCAACTCGACCCATCCCTAAGCGTCTGTTTGCCAGATCACTCCCATGAGCCCCCGATTCCAACCCTTCTGATAACCAATGGGGGTTAGACCTGGGCCTGCCAGCCTTTCTGTGCCCTCTCCTTCCCTACGTGGATTCACCATCCACCACAATACCCCCTCCCTTTGCCCCAGCTCTGCTCCTTTCCCCTCTCCCCACTGCACACCTGTACGGTGTCCCCCCTCAACACCCCTACCTCCCCAATCCCTCCCACCTGGGTTGAGGGTTGCTGAGCAGGGCAGTCCCCTCTGGTCCTTGCCCTTTCCTGGGTCCCAGGTCCAGTCCCTGTGCTGCCACCTACAAAACATTGATGCAGTTCGTCCTGGTCTGTGAGTGAGCCTGTCTAAGCCTTGGTTTCCTCACCTGGCATTTGGGCAGAGTAACCCCAGCTCAGGGAAGCTGAGACAACTCAAGTAAGCAGAAGCGCTCCCAGAACATGCCTACGTGGGAGGTGGAAGGTGCTAGAACTTCCCCAAGATTCTCCTGGCCCTTGACAGCTGGCTCCCCCGCTGAGCAGGCCTTTGTTCCTCCTGAGCAGGTCTCTGTTCCTCCTCGTTTTCTCACCTCTGTTCTCTCCACAGAAAGCTGGGTGTGTTCCCTGGAGTGGAGATGCCATTTGGAACCAGGTCACTTTGCAGAAGTCTGTTTGGGCAGGGCACAGGCCGGTGCACAGAACCGGCCCTCCTCAGGGCTCCAGACTTCCACAAAGACTCAGGCCTCTGGTCCTGCCCCATCAGCCCCCAGCCTCCAGCTGTCAGGGCAGTAGGCTCTGAGCGGGTGGTGGGGGACCAGCTCCAGGGCCTTCTGTCTTAGGGGCTGTAATAAGGAATTGCTGTGGCTCCTCTCCTTGCCATGCGGGAGACATACCATGTGCGGCGTCCCTCCGACCCAGGCCTGGAATTCCCTTTAGGAGGCCAGCCTCTGGGTATTATTCAGCCTGGGACCTCCCTCCCCAGCCCACCCCCAGGCCCTGAGCTTGTCCAGTGTCAGATAACCCGCTCTAGCCCAGCACTCTCACATCTGCCCAATCCCTAATCCCGACCCCAAATCCAGGCCTGCTCCCTCACCCCCTGCAAAGTTTGTTGTTTGGGGTTGATGAAGCCCCCAGCCAAACTCCCACTAACACTCAAGAATGGAGGTTCTAATGAAGACCCAATCAATGTGAGTCCCCCCAGAGTTTTGAAAAAGATGTGTCCTGACGTACAAAGTCCTGGTTCACCGCCCCTAGTAGGAGAGAAGGACACACAGGGCTCAGAGAGTGAGCTCACCCCCTTAACCCCATGCCTTCCACATGCTGTCCCCTCACCCTGGAATGCCTTTCTTGTTTCTACTACATCCAGCCTAATCCAGCCATCTAGAATCTGCTTAGAAATTCCCTCTAGGAAACCTGCCTGCATCTCTCCTTGTCTTGCTTACTGAGAGGCCTGTCCTGTCCCCCGAGGGCCTCTTGTCCACCTCTCATGTGGACATGGAACATCAGTATTTCATTCTATATAAGTCACCCATCTCTTCAGTCATCCTGGGATTAAATGAGAGACTCAAATAAATAAGAGGATGCTTGCATTGTTTATGAGCTTACCCATGACCTTATGTGAAACTGGCTTGGTAGATGTTCACCACATTCAGAGGGCACATTTGTGATAGTGTGAGTTAAAATATAGGCCATGAGTCTCCTAGAAGACCCATTCAACAGGGCCCCCGGTACACACCCCCAGTGCTACTGAACCTCAAGCTTAGTGACTGCTGTCAGAACAGTGCTGGCTGTATTGGCAGGGAGTGGAGAGCTGACCACAGATGTTGGTTTGAAGTCAAAACTGCAGGACATGCAGACTCATCTCAGCGGTGACAGAGCCAGCAACTCCAGGATGGAGGCTTTTAGTGAGCTCAGATTCCAGTCAATAAGTGTTAGCTGTTATTCCTGCTTTGGGGGTTTTCAGGGTCCTGTAGGGACAAGGGAGAAATGTATGGCTCTTTGGGTCTGTCAAGACTCAATACTCTATTCCTCTTCTCTGTTCTTATTTGCTCCAATGGCAAATTTTCCTGAGCACCTACTATGTGCAGGTTCTGAGCTGGTCTTGGGGTCCAGAAAGCCTGTGCATTGTCAGTGAGGAAGGCACAGAAGGGGCCCCTCTTGAGGGGCTGACCCTTGGGACCCAGTATCATCAGGGGTCCACTGGGGATGGGAAACAGGAGGTGAGGGGAAGGCCCAGACGCAGCGGCCATGTGAGGCCAGCAGCCCTGCTCCAGCTCCTGGTCTGTCGGTGATCTCTGGGAAACATCTTCTCTGAAAAACATCCCACGTTCTGCTGGTAAACACTGAACTCAGACCCTCCCTCACTGCCTGCGGCTCCTCCTGTCTCCCCAGACTTGGCTGAAGCCGTGTCTCCCATTGGTCATGCACGTGGAGAGACCGGGGAGAGTCAGCCTCTGTCCTTCAGCCTCACCTCTCCCATCCAGCCCCGCAGCAAGTCTCCTTGGACAGCTCTCAAAACATATCTCCTTTCTGTTTCATTTCCCTGTGTGGGGTGCATACATGGAGGAGTGACGAGGACCTAGTGACCACTGGGCTTTGAAGAGGTCATCATGCACACCATCGTCTCTCGTCTCCGGAACAAATATAGGAGGCACTGGTCTTTAAAGTGGGGAGGTAAAACAGTTATTATTTGTCAATGAATCATGGCAGAGACAGCTAATTGTCTGCTGATATCCCTTCCCTCCTTCTTCCGTAGTGATCAAATCTTGTGTTTAGCATGGCCACCTGGAGGAAAATAACATTTCCCCACTCACAGCTATGTGTGGCCGTGTGGCAGCTTCCCAGAAACCTCCTTAAAGTCATGCTCCACCCTTTTCCTCCTCTTTCTTCTCCTCGGTGCTGCAGCCCAGAGCTTACTTGACGGCTGCAGCTGCCCACCTTGCACTATGCAGGCAAGGGCCACATCCTGGAGGGGAGGACAATGAGCTTGAAGGAACATGGGGATATCATGGAGAGCCCGCTGTGCTGACCTTGGGCCACTCCTTTGGGCTTTTGTGTAAGTCATTCACATTTTGGGTCTGTCTAGTTGCTGCCTAATCTAATTCTTATACAGATAATTAAGTGATAAGCTAATCATAATTGATTGAAGGTCTTCAGTTAAGTGGCTGAACACAATAGCAATATACTCAAAATCAATTGTTTTCCTATAGAACGTAGATCACCAGTTAGATGATATCTTTGAAGAAGACCACATTTATGTTTGCTATAGAAGTAGAACAAAAATGGGACAGAACATGATGAGTGACATTACAAGCCATGGAGCCAATTCCCATCCTGCGCGATGGGCTTGGAACAAGGTGCCATCTCCTCTCCCATGCTAAATCCACAAAGCGGTTTTTCAAAAATGTGAAAACAATCTAACAAATACACAGTCTAAAACAAGAACAGCCACATTCGGTGGGCCAATGTGTGAATTCCTTGAAAATAAGAGAGGAGCTGGGTCAGATTAAAGAGGAAAACCACCCCCTGGGTGGGCAGGGCCTGGGACGTTCGCAGTGAAGATACAGCCGCTGAGAGGGCCATGGAGGAAAATGATGGATCAGACTAATGGAAAGGCTTTACCCAAAGAGCCAGCTTTAACAGAGCAACCAGAGCAGGAATTATTTTATGAAATTGGAAATTGCTATCCTCAGAGATAAGGAAGGATATCACTGTCTAAATAAGAATTAGCAGTTATATATTAAAGAACTAATTAGAGATTTTAGAAATTTAAAAATATGATTATTGAAAAAAGGGGGAGGCTCATTCATAGGCACAGTGGCACAGGGGGCAGGGGAGCAAAGCTGTCCCTGGTAGCAGGCAGACGCGGCATCCTGGGAAAGGCCTGGCCAACTGCCTCTACCCTGCCTTTGGTCTTGTGCTCTGGATCAGTCAGGGAATTTGTTGGCCTGCAACAGAAGGCAGCTCTGGCAGAGGGAGGCAGAACAGGGGTTTGGTGAAATTCTTGGAGTGGTGGCCGGGCCTGGGAAGCAGGATGGCCCAGTCAGCATCTCCCTGAGATCTGGGAGGACAGGTCCTCACCCCACACTTTCTCATAGGGAAGTATTCCTCTTCTGGACAAAGCAATTCCTGCTGCCTCCCTCTCTCGGCCTAGGATGTGGAAGGAGTGAATAACCCCTCCTGCTCCTCCCTGCTCTTGCTGGCTTCTTCCCAGTGATAGAAACATGCCCAAGCCCTGCTCTGTGGAAACACCATCCTGCCTCCTTCCCCTGTGACTTTCAGGGCTCCCTCTCCTCCTGGCAGCCATCAGTGTGAAGCATCAGCTGTGCCTACTGAGGATGCCACCACCCTCTCAGCCTGCTCTGACCTCCCTCTCCAGAGCTGGCAGCTGAGGGTGTGTTGGGAGTCCAGCCTAACCTGTCGTGGTGACTCCTGGAGACCCGCACAGAGGAAAAAGCCCACATGGGTCCCAGAACTCACTGTCCAGATATGCCACACGTTAGATCTGCCTGACTTAACAGACTATTTTGCATACACAAGAGGGATCGCCAAGGCACAGTATGCAAGTTTTAATCTGATAGACTTGGCTTCCCCATAGGTTATGCCAATTGATGTCATCCCCTCAACACATGAGTATGTATAGAGAGCAGCATCCACTCTTTTTACACTTTGCACACCAAGATGGTGAAAGTCTCAGGCCAACACTCTTTCCATTGGCCTTTTATTATTAGTGCAGTGGAACAGGCCGTCATGTGTTTAGTGGTTATGTTTTCCTATTATTCTGTGCATACAAGTTCAAGATTTTAATGTCTTCCCAGTGAATTGTTCCTTTTGTTAACATGCACTGACAGTGGCTAACCCTAATAGGACTTTGTCGGCTCACAGTCAGCTGTGTATGGCATAAACACAGTTACACATGCGGCAGGTTCTCTAGGGTTGCAGCTCAGACCTCGTGGCTCTTAGAGCCCACCCCCCCGCAAGTGGTTGATTCCAAGGTACATCCAGCTAGAACCTGGGTCCCCGCCAGCTCTGACCTCTGCTGCCAAGGTCGTTTGTGCACTACCCTGTACATTCTGTGTATGGTGGCTCATGCTGCATGGATATGAGGCAGGAGAAACAGAAGATGCACAGAGGCCAGGCTAGACCAGCCTGATTCCCATCTTTCCCCAGATCTCACAGCCGAGGAGCTGAAGCTGTCCCCAACCACTGAGAGGTGGGCCTCCCCAAGGCCACTGCTAGGCGCTGAGCCCTCGCAGTCTTTAAGTAAATGTGTGCTGATCCACAGGAAGGGCCCCATCCCTTCCTTGCTCACCCCAATTCCAGCCACCCATGCTTCCCTCCCTGCTCTCCCCTCCTCAGTCTGGGTGGCCTTCACATGCAGCACTGTCCTGTCTGTGCATCTCTTCTCAGTCTACCCTCTCATCATTAGGATGCTCATATAATTAACAAATTACAGTGTCCATGCCTCACATACTCTGTGCAGGGTGGAGCATTTTGAAAGCATTGCTCATGTGAGTTGCACCTTTGGAGATGAGTTTTATCCCTGTTTACAAATAAGGCAACTGAGACCCAAATGGTAAGTTGCCAAAGTCCCTGTACGCAGCTTGGAAAGGAACATCCCCTTCTGGGATTCTGGCTCAGGCCCCTCTAGGTGTGATGTGACCTCCGCAACCCCTGCCTCTCAACTCATGGGCCCTCTCCAAAAGGGGACCCCCCCAGCTGAGGGACACAGGAAAAGACTTCATGTGTGTTCGCACCCCTAGAGAACTGTTTGCATGTGTGTGTGTGTGTGTGTGTGTGTGTGCATGTGTGTACAGGCTGGGGGGCTTAAACAACAGGTTCATTTGTCACAGGTCTGGAGGCCGAAAGTCCAAGATCAAGTTGCTGACAGGGACAGTGTCTGGCAAGGTCTCTCCCCTTGGCTTGCAGATGGCCACCTTCTCACTGTGTGCTCACAGGGCATCTTCTTTGTGCATGTGTGGGGACAGCATGCTCCCTGGTGTCTCTTCTTATGGGGACACTGATCCTCTCACCTCAGGGCCCCACCCTTAAGGCCTCATTTAACCTTCATTACTTCCTTAGAAGCCACACTGGGGGTGAGGGCTCCAACGTGCGGATTTAGGGGGACACCATTCTGTGTGCATGTTTGGAGCAGGAAGACCTGTTTGGCATTCCCGGGGTCACATCCAGCAGGTGGCCATGCCTGCCCAAACACCAAGAGAGTTCTTGGTTCCCATGAGAGCAGTAAGTTTCAGGGCCAGGTGGCAGAGGCATTTAAACAGTGTCCGGCTGCCACCTGGCCAGGGCAGGCAGGATGTGGGTCACCTGGCATCAGGCCTTGTGCTGTGGGTCTAATGTCCCTTTGGCCTCTGGGAACCCTGGGGGCTCTGCTGCCCACCTGCACTAGGCTCCTGCCTCAGTATCCCTGTCCAGACCTCTAGGTTGCAATGGCCAGCATGTGGCTGTGGCCCTGTCTCCCACCTGGTCCAGGTGCAGTGACCTGGAAGCCCTGACCTGTTGAGGTCCAGCTGCCCACCCCCCACCCAGCACACCTGGCATGAGCCCCCCATCCCTGGCCTCTGGCTCTGCCCCAGGCGCCCAGACACAGCCATGTGCCCTCCACAGCTGTGTGTCTCCAAGCCCTGCACCTCTCTGAACCCTGCTTTCTCCACCAGCAACATGGGAGTGACCCCTTCAGCCCCACAGAATTGTGCCAGAGCCAGAGTGCCTGGGACTGCACGGCCTTTGCTTCCTCTCCTTACCCGATGGACTCCAACCCCAGGTCCCCCCCTCACCTCCAGTGAAGGTTCCCAGGGGCCACTGGGTTTCTGCTTTGTGGCAGCAGCAGCAGGGCAGCCCTGGACAAGGGGAGGGCGCCTGCCAAGGAAGCCAGAGTTGGCTGGAGCGGGTGCTGCCGAGGGAACTCACCACTCCGGCCAGGCAATTATTTTTAATGAGTCCAACTCTCCTGCAGGCTGTGAGGCCCGGGGCAGACAAGCCACAGCTACAGGAAAGCAGACTGCCAGGGCTTCCCAGCAAACAGGTCAGCTCCATTGGACTGCACCCACTCCGACCTCTTCTGGCATTTAAAAAGGACATTTTACAGGACTGTTATTCAGGAAGAAGCAGCATCAACTGCCACAGGTGAAAAAGAGAAAGGAGCTCTAAAAACAATATGAATACCAGGACAACAAAGACAAGATCTGGGCAGGGTGGGCATCGCCCAGGCAGCTCATGGGGCTGAAGTCTGGCTGCTGGGACTTGGAACCTTAGAGCTGGGTGCCTCAGAGTAGCACCTCCATCCCATTGGCTCTGAGCCCACCCTTTCCTCCCTCTTTCTTTAAACAGAGTGACTCACAACTGTGAGGAAGGCGGGACCACACAGCAGTGGCCCGGAGCCCTTCTCTGAGATGTGGCAAAAAAGAACTTTCTCCTAAAGAGGGATGCACTGTTCCCTAATGCAGACCTGTGACCTGCCTAACCTTGTCCCGAGTATCCTCAGAGGCTCCAGCCTGCACGGATGAGACAGTGTGAGCAGCCCAGGAAGCCAATTTGGAGGGGAGTTATGTGTGGGAGCTGGGCTTTGAGGAATGAAGAGGGTTTCCAGTTAGGCTCCAGAAAGGAGGAGGTATAGGAGCTGGGCTTTGAGGAAAGAAGAGAGTTTCCAGGTAGGCTCCAGAAAGGAGGAGGTATAGGAGCTGGGCTTTGAGGAAAGAAGAAGGTTTCCATGTAGGCTCCAGAAAGGAGGAGGTATGGGAGCTGGGCTTTGAGGGTTTCCACTTTGGGGCAGGGAAGCGTCCTGCTGGGGAGAGCAGCAGGGGCATAAGCATAGGAGAGAAGGAGGGGAAAGTGGGCATTCTCCTTGGAGCCCCACGGGGGCCTCGGGCCCTAGCCACGTTGCATGGGTGGTGGGAGCTACGGCTCCACAGGAAGGGCATCCACCCCAAGAACATCCCCCTTGGGTGCAGCCTGAGCAGACTGACTTTGTCTTAGTGGCCCCTGGAGAGGCCCTAGGGATGGCGGGTACAGGGATGAGGCTGGAGCTGCAACTCAGTGGCAGAGGGAGCGGCAGGGCCAGGGCACAGAGGGAGGGGCAGGATGGACTCCTTAGGTCCCCCTGTTCCTCCAGCTCCAAGTCTTTCCTGCTCCAGGATCAGCCCTAGGGCCCCCTGGACAGTCCTGCTGTCAGCCAGCTTCCCATCAGATTGGCCTTCATTGCCTCACGCTATGCTCCTTTCAGCACCTTCCTTCGCAGTTGGGGCCACAGGGGAGGCTGGGTGGAGCAGAAGGGCCAGGACAAGGGTCTGGGAGGAGTGCAGCTTTCTGAAGGCAGCTGGCCACCTGTTGACTCTTGATCCCAGCTCCACACGACACTTGACTCAGCCACAGACCGACTCCTGAACCCAGGCACATACTGACCCCTACTCCTGACTACACCTTGACTTCGACACCAGCCATATATTAGCTTCTGGCAGCCATGGTCTTAACCCTTGGCCTCAGCCCACCTTGACCTTTTAACCAACCATACTGACCCCTGGCACTAGGCAGACCCCGATGGCCAACCCTGGCCCCACACCAAGCCACACTCTGATCATTGCCTGAACTTGGCCTTGCTGTAGCCTTGGGCTGACCCCAGCTATGTATGCCACAGCCAGACACTCTTCTCAGAGGGCCCAGGGCAGGCCCAAGTTCTGGCAGGAGGAGCAGGCACAGCAGGGTAAGGAGCCGGGGGATGCAGCTCCCCGAGTGCTGGCTTCAGTGCGGCGCCAGGCACAGTGAGAGGCACTTGGCAGCTTGTCTCGGAAGCAGGAGTGGCTGTGCCCATTGCACAGAATGCTTCTCACTATCAAGTTGCCAGGTGACCTTGGGCCAGCAGCGTGTTCTCTCTGGAGTTCTATGTGCTCAAGAGTGAAAACTGGAGTCTCATGAATTCTAAAGACTCTTACAAGAAAACGAGTGCTAGGGCAGCTTGCGGGGCACGGAGCAATTGAGATGATGCATTTAAGGTGCTCAGCACAAAGCCAAGTACACCATAAGTGTTCAATAAATGTGGGTTATTAATGTTACTATTAATAATCCAGCCTGCCCACTTCACCGAGCAGACAGGGACAGGCAGCTTAAGAGTGCAGGAAGGGGCTGCCCGTGGGCAGGAGGACGTTTTAATGAGAGGAAGCGGTAGCGGCAGCCGGGAGAAGGCAGGCAGGGCCCTGCACAGGAACGGGAAATAACACTGCCTTCCCAAGTGCCAGAGCAGGGCCCACCCTGGGGCAGAGGATGATGCTTAAGACAAAGAGAGGGTTTCCCTCCTGCCCTAAAGTTGGCACCATCATAGTAGCTGTCGGTGGGGACAAGGAGGCCGGGCACTGCTGTGTTTAGCAATGAGCTGAGTACATGATCAGCCCAGGGCAGGGCCAGGATGCAGGCCCAGGTCTGTAGGACCATGAAGACCATGCCCATGCCAGGACGATGTCAGCAGATAGGGAGGCTAGTGGGGGAGAGGAGAGAACAGAGTGCTGGGAGAGGGAACAAGCTCTCCCTTGCTGGTCCCTGGCCCTGAGTGGGGTCAGTGAAGGGCCTGTAGCTGTCTCCCAGCCACCTCCCACAGCCCCTTGTGGCAGAGACTAATGGCATTCCCACCTTCCCACATGTGAGATTTCACTCCGCAGCAGGAACTACCTGCCCCTCCCTGTTCCTGCTTTCCAGTTATCCCTTCAACCCACTGGCCTCAGTTTGGGCTGCTGAAAAAAAAGAAAAAAAGGTAACCTCACTCAGGATTCTTGTGAGAACTGCTTGTGGCCAATATTTACAGATGCCAGGCAACATGTTAAGCATCTTCTCCTTTCATTGGTGCCTTCTGTCAGTCTTTTCCAAGGAGTGGTAGAGCAGGTGAGTTCACATTACATGGACACAAGTCAGGGCTTAAGTAATAGACTAGAGTGTAAGGGGTCTATTTCACCCTGGTCTATGCAGGGTGCGTGCCTCAGTGAGATCCTCTAGGGAGGGGGCCGTGGAGAAAGAAGGGGTGGATAATCTAGCAGGCTGGGCTTGAGAAGTTCCTTTGTAGACACTTCAAGACGAACGAGAATTAAAGGCTTTGGGGCTAGGGAGAGGTTTGCTATTCTATGTATTTTAGAAAGCATTATTCAACCAAACGGTGGGGAAGAAATTGGGAGAGGCAAAGTGATGGCAAGGAGACAAGTTGGAGGGATGTAGCTTTGACCCAGGAGGAAGGTGCTGGCGCCTGATGCAGGGAAGGTGTGGTGAATTCACAGTAGGAAGAGGGAGAAGTGGACACCTTTAAGATCTCTTTTGGAAGTAGACTATATGGGATGTTGGTGACTAAAGAGAGGGAATGGGGGCAATGGCAAGGTTTCTGGGTGGGTGGGGGAGGAACTGTAAATAAAAACTCTTTTTCTGCTCACAATACTTCTGACACCAAATAAATATGTGGGTTTTTCACAGCAAGCAATTCTCCAATTTTCTGCAGACATCAACTGGGTGTCTGATATTGTTTGGCTCTGCGTCCCCACCCAAATCTCATGTTGAATTATAATCTCCAGTGTTGTGGGGGGTACCTGGTGGGAGGCAATTGGATCATGGGAGCAGATTTCCCCACTGCTGTTCTTGTGATAGTGAGTGAGTGCCCACAAGATCTGGTTGTTTAAAAGTGTGTAGCCCTTCCCCATTCAAGCTATCCTGCTCCACCATGGTAAGGCATGCTTGCTTCCCCTTCACCTTCCACCATGATTGTAAGTTTCCTGAGGCTTCCCAACCATGCTTCCTGTACAGCCTGTGGAACTGTGGGTGAATTAAACCTCTTTTCCTCATAAATTAACCAGTCTCAGGTGGTTCTTTATAGAAATGTGAGTACAGACTAATACAGTGTCCTACCATGTAATTTCATTCTGACACTGACTACTGGAAGTTAGTGCAGACCCACCAGGTGAAGGGCTCAGTCCCATAATCCTGCTCCTATTTCAGATATCCATTGCAAGTCACCCAACTAGGCTGCAAATTGGAGATTTCCATGACTCCCTCCTCAGGTTCAATAATTTGCTAGGATGGTTCACAGAACTCTGAAACGCTTTACTTACTATTACCTATGAAGGATAGAAATGAACATCCAGAGGAAGAGGTACATAGGGCTAGGCTGAGAAGAGTCCCAAGCACAGGAGCTTCTGTCCCCTTGGAGTCTGGGGTGCACCATGCTCCTGTCATATGGATGCATTCACTAACCTGGAAGCTCTTTGAACTCCATTTAGGGTTTTTGCGGAGGTTCCATTACATAGACATAATTGATTAGATCACTGGTCACTCATGATTAAGTCAATCTCTAGTCTTCTCTCCTTGGAGATCTGGGGGTGGGGCTGAAAGTTCCAACCTTCTAATCACAGCCTTGGTTCCCCTGGCAACCAGTCCCTCTCCATCCTGAGGCTATTCACGTTGTTAGCATAAACTCAAATACGGTTGAAAGTGGCTTGCTATGAATAACAAGAGACACTCCTATCACCTCTATCACTTAGGAAACTACAAGGTCCTAGAAGCTCTGTGGCAGGAACTGGGGACACAAAACAAAATAACAAAAGCTCCTAACCTTAGGAGCTCAGTGTCAGGAACTGAGGTCAAAGCCCAAATATTATACTTATCACACGTTGACAGATACAGAGAATGCTGCAGGAACAGCAGCACTGTGGGAACAATAATGCACTTGTCTTTGAACATGGTGAACAATGTGATGTCCAAAGGAAGTCTTGAGTCGTCCATAAGATACACGACTTGGGGCCACGGGGACCACTGGATGAAAGCAGCTTGAGGAGTCATCATCCTCATTGGAGGGATGCACATGAACGAGATTGCCAGGGAAAATCCCACCAGGGGCTGCTGGCAAAGAGGACTCTTTAAAATCAGGCAGCCTCTTTAAAATCAGGCAAAAAATAAGCATGCTCAAAGCTGCCACTTTGACTTGGTAATATATTAGAGATCCTAGACAGTGAAATAAGACAAGAAAAAGAAAATTGAATACATATGGATTGGAAAGGAAAAACTGAAGCAGTCATCTTTTGTTTTTTTGCAGATTTTATGATTTTATTTTTAGAAAATCAAAAACAATTTGGACACAAAGTACTAGCAATATTAGGAGAGCTTAGACATGTAGCTGAATATAAGATCCATATGCAAAAGTCAGTTGCATTTCTGTACAGCATCAAGACACTGACAAATGTTTTACCACTTTGTAGCAACAAAAATTACAAATGTAATTGGAAATAAGTCTAACAAAAGTTGTAAAGGACTGTAAAAAGGAATTTGTAAAATTTCCCTGACGCATCTATCATGTCCCACTTAAATATGCCCCATTTATTTTTACAGACCTAGATAAATGAAGAGATAGCCCATGTTTATCAATTGGAAGACTTGTTATTATAATATAATCTCCTCAAATTTATGCAATGGTTTAACACCACTCCAATAAAAACAGAATCTTCTACAGAACTTGACAGTTTGCTACTAAAATTAAAATCAAAGAACAAAAGGCCAAGAATATCTGAGACAATTCTAAAGAAGAAAGGCAGGCTACTCTGTCAGGTTTGATTTATTATAGTTTTAGTAAAGAATACTGTGTAGTATTAGCGCGGGAGTAAACAAATTGGCCAATGGAACAAATAGAGCATCCCCAAGCAGATCCATGCACCTATGTATGACATAGGTTGTCAAATTGAATGGCAAACCAGTGGAGAAAGAAGTGACTTTTCAACAAATACACCTGGAATAATTGGCTACCCATATGAAAAAATTAAATTATGTTTCCACCTCACACTATACCTGCACACTGAAATCCACACCAGATAGATTAAGAACTATGTCAAAGCAAATGTCAAAAGCAAAATTTAAAAATCTTTAGAAGAAAATATAGGTAAGAATTTCGATCTCAAGATAGGAAAGGATTTCTTAAAGTACAAAAAGTGCTAACATAAAAGAAAAAGACTGATGTATTTGAAAACACTGTGATTAAGAACTTCTGTAAATAGAAAGACAATTAAGATCAAGTAAAAAGGTAAGTCAAGGTGTGAAAATATGCTTAAAAAACATATTTCTGACAAAGAATCTGTATCAAGGTGAAACAGAAAACATCTCAAGTCAGTAAGAACAAGAAGGAAAAAACTCAATGGGCAAAAATTAAAACAGCTGCTGCACAGAACAGACAATGTCTGCAGATCCCAAGTGCTACCAGTGATTCATATACGTAGGTACAAACCCCGGGATTCTATTTTACTGGCAAAACCAAAGATGTTTGATGACACTGAGTGTTTAAGAGAATATGTATCAACAGGATCTCTCAAACATGGCCAACAGGAATGTAATTTGGGATCATCACTTCAGTGTAATCTTATACATTTCAGCATTTGCAAGCACTGCAATCCAGCAGTTTTACTCCTTGATATATACCCAAGAAAAAAATGTGCACAAGTCCACCAGAAATTATCTACCAAAACGATTGTGGCAGCACTGTTCATAATGGAAAAGAAACTGGAAACAACCAAAGCCCATCTATAGGAGAATAGACAAGCAAATTGAGGTGTATTCAGATATTGGATATTATATAGCAATGAAAATTAATGACCTATAGCTACACCTGTAATCAATGAATCTTAAAACACACGAGTGAGAAGCTGCCTTGGCGGTGGATCAGCAGTCCTAGCCACCTGGCTGGTGCTGTGTGAGCAGAGATGAACTGCCCAGCAGAGCCTTCCCTCAGTTCCTTCCCTATAGAACTATGAGTGGAATAGAGCAGTGCTTCTGAGACACTAAGTTTTGGGGCAGTTGTTGCACAGCACTAGGTAACCAGAACTTTATATGATTTTTACCCTGCACAAAAACATCCATTTATATTTTTCCTCTTACATTTGTATTCCATTCCTCCAATAAAGCAGTTTGGCACTCCCTGACCCTGCCACAAAATAAAGCCAGAGCCCTGAAATACTTGGAGCATACAGTTTATGCCATAAGCAATAAGCATTAAAGATTAAGTGTGAACAAAAAGAAGTACTAAGCAGCACTTAGGAGGTTGGGTTCTATTTTATTAAGAGTTATTGTTCCCAATTTCTCACTGTGCTTAATTTATAAATTAAAGTTTACCATAGGTATGCATGAACAGGAAAAATCACATTATAGACAGGCTTTGTCCTGTCCACAGTTTCAGGTATCCAGTGAAGGTCTTGGAACGCATCCCTGTGGGTAAAGGGCTCCACTGTAATATGTTTTGTTCTTTTCTAAATTGGCTGTTACAGGGTGTCATTTAGTTTTTATTTCTAATTTATAAGCCTTCTTTCATTCCTTTAATCATTTTGAATATTCTTGTTTAATAACTTCTCTCAGATTGTTTAATTAACTAAACTTTTCAGGAAACAAATCTTTCCTGAACCAGTAAAATGTCAATCCTGATGGGATAGTTTCTTTATGGGTGTCCGTGTGTGTGCATGTCTGGTTGATTCTAAGCAAGCTTTGTATTTACTGTGGGAATTTTATGGTGGCTAGGTTGTTAAAGCACCCTTGCATTGTGGCTTTATTTGGGTTTATACTAAGTGCTGAGGGTGGGTGTTCCAGGAACCCACCCTGTGTCAGCTTCTTGGCCTATGGTCCCCACATCAAGAGGCAAAGTTAAAACCAGACTCCAGGTCCTCAGGAGGTGAGGCCCAGGGTTTCAGTTTCTCACTGAAGACTGTCTTCTACATATGAACTTCTCATAGAGAAACTTCAGAACACTAAAGACAAAAAGAAATTATAAAAGAACCCAGAGAGGGACAAAAGTTTGCCTCCAAAGAACAAATCTTGAACTATCAAGAAGTTTCTGAACAGCAGCAACTGTGGCTTAAAACAACAGAAAAATATCTTCAAAGTACTGAAAGAAAATAGACGCCAAACTAGAATTTTATATCCAGCCAAATAATTATTCAAGAATGACAGTGAAACAAAGACATTTTCAGATAGGCTGAAAGAGTTTATCGCTAAAAGTTCTTTGCTAAAAATCTCTAGAGTGTACTTCAGGAAGGGAGAAATTGAGCTCCAAACAAAAGAGTAATGCATGAAAAGACAGCAAATGAATTGGCAGAACACAGATGTATAGTGAAATAAGTATTGACAGTAAATATCAATGGTATTAATAAGGATTATGTTGGTGATGATGAAATGAAACTAAAATATTACATAATAATACCATGTAAAATGGAAAAGATTATCAGAGTAAACATATTCTAAGGTCTTTATAGCATTCAAGAGAAGGTAGAGCTTCACTAACTGTTGACTTCATTGAGTCAAGTATGTATGTTAAAAAATAAGAGTAATCATTAAAAGAATAGAGGTGTTGGATTGAACCATATGAAATTGCTGATATCTGACTAATTTTGACCAACATAATGGCAATTTCATATGGTTCAGCCTAATACACTGGAGAACTCTGAAACCAGAAAAGGTGAAATGCAGAAAGAAAAAAAATTCAATCATACCAGTGGAAGGTAGGAAAGATAGTGGGAGAGGCACAAAGGAAAACCATGGTAAATGCCCCCAAAGGAGATGACAGAAGTAAATGCGAGTACTAAACCCTCAAATTAAAGACAAACCCTCAGGTGAGATAAAGCTAAATTTTTAAGTGTGCTAATTATAGGAACCACACTCACAACAAATTAGTCCAAACTTTAGTAATGAAAGGATGAAAAAAATAAATTAAGTAATTGCTAATAAATTTTGAACACAACTATAGCTATGTTAATATAAATCTATTGTAAACTTTAAAAAGTATTTAAGCATATAAGTTTTTAAAAAAGTACTGTTGGGAAAAAAGATAGTATATAAAGATAACACGAAAACTTCACTAGGAATTTACCAGAAAGATATAAAAAATTGAACTTGTGTGCCTCAACAATTAACCTTTAAATTACTAAACAGCAAAAATTGGAACAAAAAAATAAGGAAAAATGAACAAATTCCTACTCATAGTGGGAGATTATAGTATTTGTCTCTCAGAAATTGATAGATAAGAAAAATAACAAGAAGTTAATTAAGGATATAGAACACATAAATGCTTCAAGTAAAACCTTGATATAATGTATGCATATGTGCATCACAGTACAAACGTATAGAGTACTTAGCACCCACAACAAGGGGGCACAGACTCATTCCAAACACTTCACTTCATGGTCTCATTTAATTAATAGCACTTGCTGGGGAAATGATGTTATTATTGCCATTTTAAAGTTAGTGATGTGGTGGACTAAGCATGAGAGGGGAATTCCAGAAAGAACAAGAATGGACAAGGATCATTAGATGAGTTGCTCAATATCACTGCTCATCAGGGAAATGCAAAATCATATATAAATTTAGAAGTATAGCTGTACCAAGCATTGACAAAGGACAGGGGATGTGTAAACTGCTGCTGGCTGGGGGCCAGTGGGCATGGCCCGCCTGGAAGGGCAGTTGGGAGGTACTTAGAAAAGTTGAAGATGCACTTGTGTTACTATCTAGAAACTCAACTTTTAGGTACCCACTCTAGAGAGATTCCCATTCATGTGCACCCGGAAGACATGTGGGATGGTGTTTGTTGCCACATTGTTTGGGACTAAAATTTAAAAAAGGAAAAATGTTGCTGTTGGTAAGGCTGGAATACTTACACTTTCTTCAATTCATAAAATGGAATTTTTCAGCATGAAATAATATCAAAGATATAATGTTGACCAAAATAAAGCAAGGTACCAAAGTGATGGCAGCAGCAGGCTGCTCCAGACAGCCTGCCACTGCCATCATGCCAACTGCAGCACTGAGGCATGGCAGGGGATGCACACTCCATGGAGCCGGCAAGAGCCAGAGACAAGTGGGAGCTCCACCCCTTCTGAGTTGGGGCAGGAGTTCCCTGGGTGCTGCTGCAGCTGCCCAACCTGTGGCTGCAGACCCAGGCCTTCTACTCCATGGAACAGGCAGGAGCCCCACCCTCCCAGGCAGGGCTGCACACAACTTGGGTGGCTGCAGATTTGAGCCTCCCTGTGCTCTTGGGGGCTGGGATCAGGCAGGAGCCCTGTCCTCCTGGGCGCAGCTGCAGCCACCCAAACTGTGGCTGTAGATCTGGGCTTCCTGCTCCACAGGGCAGGCAGAAGCCTTGTGCTCCCCCACCACAACACCCCTCCCTATGTTAAACTGCATCTGCACAAACCACAGGTGCCGATTCAGGCATCCCTGAACTCTTGGAAGGCCCCCTGCCCTGGCAGGCTCAGAAATGCCTGCTCCTGCTGGCTTCTCTCTGCTGTCAGTGCCTGCTCCAATCTCAGGGCAAAGTCAGGGCCAGGCATGGGTGCCATGAAGGGCCGCAGTAGGCAAGCAGATTCCTGAGTGGAAGAGGACAGTCCCTGGTGAGGCCCAACCAGAGTGGGAAATTGTGGTGCCTTTTCCAGGCAGCACATAGCCGCCCACGGACCAATCCACATGCACTTCCTCCCCTCTGAAGCCCATGAAAGCCTTTGGTTCAGCCAGAGCTGAGCAGACAACTGGACAACCAGCTGCAGAGAGGAACTACCCTCTCTGCTGAGAGCTTCAGAGACCTGCGCAGACATCGGGACTACCAGCTGCAGAGAGAAGCTACCCTCTCCAGGGCCTCTTCTCTGCTGGGAGCAGCAGACATTGGGATGACCTGCTGCAGAGAAGAGCCTCACTCTTCAAGGCTTCCTTTCTGATGAGAGCAGCAGAGATGGGGCCAACCAGTTGCAGAGAGGAGCCACGCTCTCTAGGGTCTCCTCTATGCTGAGAGCTGAACACTCACTGAAGTGACCCGCCAGCAGAGAGGAGCCACCCACTCCACCCACTCCAGGCCTCCTCTCTGCTGAGAGCTGAATACTGGATGGGACAACCTGCCTACAGAGAGGAGCTACTCACTGTTGGTCTCCTCTGAGCTGTTCTAATACTCAGTAAGGCTCCTTTTTATCTTGCTCACCCTCCACTTGTCTGCATACCTCATTCTTCCTGGATGCAGGGCAAGAACTCAGGCAAAGGTGCCACCAGCCACAGAGGTTTCTAGCCAGAAAAGTGACACACAAAAGATCCCATAACATTTTGGGGGCTGATGTGGGATCTGTGGAAGGGTGAGTAAAAGTGGATCTGCTTTTTGTCCTTTTTTTCAGAGTCCTTAACTCCACAATAGTTAAAATGAAAGAAAAATACTGAGCATCTGTCAGCCAGTTAAAAGTGACTAGCTCGGCTGGCAAACTTATGACACAGAGGGCAGGCTTGCTGGAAAGGACACCATCACCCTCAGGTGTTGGGAATGTTGGCTTTGTTCCAAACCAATTTCCCTTCGCAGAGGTCTGGCTGTCCCGTGGTACCAGAAGGAGGTCCTAGGGCAATTGAAGGTATCTGGCTGAGGCTACACCTTGGTGTTGTCTGAAAGCCCCTGGACTAACTCCAGTCCCCAACCACCTGTTAGGGTGTCAGCAAAAGGACCTCTGGTGCCTGCCTTCCTTTCTCTTTCTCTCTCTCTCTCTCTTTCTTTCCAGCTGTCATGGTTCCTGTCTCCTCTCCTGTTAAATGTTAAGAATGTTGTTGTAAGCCACAGAAATATTGCTGGGTAGAATGAGCATTTGGCTTAGTCATCAGGAGGGTAAATGAGAACAATGTGGTGCCTGTCCATTCTTGGAAGCAAGAAGAATATAACAATTGAGAGTTTTCTTTCCCCTACTGAAGGAACCCATATGCATAGGACAAGAGGCTTTTTCCCCAGGCACCTTCCCCTCCCCTACACTTAAGTTGTAATTTTGGGAGGCATCTCAGGAGACCAGGTCCCCAGTTTCCAGGACTCCCTTTCTCTCCCTCGTTTGAGGAGGACCTGGTCCCATAGCTTCACCTGTTTATGACAGGGAAGCAATGGAGGAGTTGCCTTGCTGGTTGCTGGCTGCAATTTGGTGAGGGCCAACTGAGACTAATTTAATGGATCCATACACCTTCCTGAGGCAT
Source organism: Homo sapiens (assembly GCF_000001405.40). Classification (NCBI taxonomy): domain Eukaryota; kingdom Metazoa; phylum Chordata; class Mammalia; order Primates; family Hominidae; genus Homo; species Homo sapiens. The sequence continues at coordinate 127,276,084 of NC_000003.12, forward strand.
CTTTTTCCCAAGTTTTGGTTTGAGGCCCTAGAAAGGAAAACTAGATCTGAGGGATTCAAAGGCATAATACAGCAGAAGTCTAGGGCACAGCACAGGTGAGTATGACTAATTCCTGCTGATTAGGGCCCTTCTGCTTCATGGATGGAGGTCATGCTCACATCCATGGCACAGATAAGGTCTAGGGAACTCAAAGGTTACTGACAGCGGGAGGCTTAGGCACCACACAGTGAGTGCGAATATTCCTGCTGGCTATGCCTCCCCTGCCTTCATGTGTGAAGGTTGCGCTTGCACCCACAGTCAGCACCTGCACAGGTCACTGGAACTCAGGGATATAAGGTCAGAAGAAAGAAATGGGACACCTTTTTTTCTCTCCCTCACATACCCTGGGTATTCACTGGAAGGAGAAAGGAACAAAGGAATGCCTTTTTCCCTCATTTCAGATGGGTAACCAACCATCCTCAGCCTGCACTCCCCTTGAGTGTATTCTGAATCACTGGGACTCCGTTGACCCTCAGACTGTAGAGAAAGAGGAAAAAACCTTTTCCCTCCTCTGTCCTCTCTTCCAGGTGGGTAACCAACCATCTTCAGCCTGCATTCCTCTAGAATGTATCCTGAATCATTGGGACTACTTAGACCCTCAGACTCTGAAGAAAAAGCACCCCATACTCCTTTTGCACATATTCCTGATTTCATCAGCTCAGGGTTTGGCCAAATTTTGTTCTTCAGGGAGGAGAAGTGTGAGCTCTGGATGGAAGCATTAATTTCGGTACCATTCTGCAGCTGGATCTTTTATGTAAAAGTGAAGGCAAATGGTCTAGGATTTCATGTGTGCATGCTCTCTTTGCCTTGCAAGGTAGTCCGGACCTTTGCCAACATTGTAGGATTCATTCAGCCCTCCTAGCAGCCATCTCAGGATAGACTGCAAGGGACAATCCCAGGGAACTAGGGAATAGCAAAAGTTGCCCACCCATACAAGTCATCTAGAGAGGTTTTGAATACCCTGTTGCCTAGGCCACACCCTAAGCTGGTGAAATCCACCCCTCTGAGGTGGTTTGAAAGGGTTTGGCCATTATCCACCTCTCAGCTCCCCAGCTGATTCCCATGGATATGCAGAATTGAGAGCCACTCAACAAGATGGTGGAGGGGGAGCAGCCTGGAAGCTGTGTTGGGGACAGACTTGACTCAGAAATAAACAGAAAGCCAAACAGACTCATAGCAATGTGCCCAATACTAATAAAACTGAGAAGGTTGTTGAGGAGCTAACCCTCTCCCCAAAATAGTCAGCCCCTCCTTTCTCCACAAGTGAGTAAACAGAGACATGCATTTTGGATACCTTAGCTTTGGATAAAAAGACTCAACATTGTAAAAATATTTTTTACTTAAATTAAATGTTCAACAAACCCACTTCTATTCAAAATATTACTAATAGTTTTGGATGCCTGACAAAAATGGTTTGTGGTGGAATATTTTTAAAGCATTAACAGATGTTTATTTTCTTTGCAATTTATTTTACTCTGTTATGTTGGGGACTGCTATTTGCTACATTGTATCCATTCTCCACTTCTTCCTTAAGACAGACCCTGATATTACTTGGAACAGCAATGATTCAAAAATTTTGTTTCTCTTCCTCCCTTGCAGCCAGGCATGACCATGTAACAGTTTGGGCTGCTGAGCCAGAAGGGAAAGAGTACTACTGCTAGACTTCCAGGAAGGCTGCTCTAAGAAAGATGACTCAGAGGTTGCACTTTTTTAGTTTTGGGGGTTTTTTTCCCTCTACTTCCTGCTTCTTGGAACTAGGACATGATGTCTGGAACTCTAGCAGCCATTTTGGACCATGAGGTGATTGTGCGACTAGAAGACACATCGTAGAATGGAGCACCAAGACGAAAGCCCCCAAAGCTGCCCTATAAGACCTGGACTTCAAACCAGCAAACTTCTTCCATGTGAGAGAGAAATAAGCTTAGGTTTTGTTTCTGCCAGTGTTATCTTTGTTTTCGGTTATGAGCCACTAAATGTGATCCCACTTGTTACCCCAGTCATTCTCCCAACTTCCTAGACCCATTAATAGCATTCTACACTCACAGTCCATCAGTGGTGCAAGACTACAACACGATTTTAAATCCAAAAGTGATATAAATGATTTTGTGATTCTGTGCTGCTGAGATATGTGCTTTTTTCAACTTGCAAAATATACTATTGAAATCTATAGTTAAAAAAAAAAGAGTCTTGAAATCCTAGTTTTTGCTTACCCAAATCCAAAGCCTCAAAGCACACTCTGGGGAGAAGGTTTTGCTACAGAGAAGAAGCATAAAAGGATCTTTGACTATCTGGGCCACACTCTACCCACTCTGCAGGACAAGATGAGCTCCTGTGAGCTGGAGGGAGGGAGACAGTCGGGGAGAAAGTGGGAGTGTTTGGTGCAGGAGCGGGGCCTGGGACTTGCCCTCTGGCCAGAAGTGGATAGAAGTGGGAGGGAAATGACAAAGCAAAGAAAAGCAGGACAATGGGTCATGAGCTAGAATCCTGCCATCTTTGAGTAAAGAGTGGAGGTAAATGGGTTTTGGGGGGCACCTTGGCAAAGGGCCCTGAGGCAGACAGTGGGGTCTCTACCCACCTGAGGGCAGGGGGTCATCCAAGTTCTCCTGGGCAGACTCGAGTCATCTGGAAGAAGATCAGAGGACCCAGAGTGCCATGAATAGAAGTAGAAAGACCTCTCAGCAGTGGATCTAGAATGCTGATGTCTCCCTAGGACTAGAAGAGCCTCCTCATGCCTGCATCTTGGCAAGTCCCTCCAAGAATGTAGGTGACCCCACAAAGAAAGAGGAGTGGGGGAGCACTGAGCTAGCAGTGACCTGTGAATTGGCCAAGTTTATCATGAACTATGATCAAATCCTGAAACAACTGAGAGTGATATTGAAATGATTAGAAAATCATTTCCCACACTGCTGTCACTGCAAGGTGGACACCTGTGTGGCAGATGTGGCCCTCTGGCCCTCAGGTGGCAGGAGCAGAGCCCAGGCCAGGAGTCAGAAAACCAACCTAGGGAACGGGGCCAGAGGAAGAGGTCTGCTATGAGCTGAGGCTGGGCACACAGGCAGGCCAAAGACAGCCCAAGTCCTGCCAAAAGAGAAAGGTTGGAATGGGAAAAACACCTGTAGCACTTATGAATTTCTAACATGAGTTCCTACTAATTGATACACAAAAGATATAAAATCCAACAAAAAAATTGTGTAAAAAAGATATATTAGCAACTAACAGAAAAAGATACAAAAGTGGCCAATAAATGCATACAAAGACACTAAACCTTATTAGTAGCCAAGAAAATTCAAGTTAGAACGATAATGAGATAATATACTTTCATCTAAGAGATTGGCAAAAATTATAGAGTCCCAACATTTATTGCTGGGGAGATAGTGTGGGGAAGAGGTGCCCTTATCACTGCAGGTTGGAATTGGCATTGATGCCACCTAATTTGAATACAATTTCTTAGTATCTATAAAAATAAAATATGGCTCAACCCAGCAATCACATTACTGGTATATACCCAAAGGGATATAAATCGTTCTATTATAAAGACACATGCATGCATATGTTCATTACAGCACTATTCACAATAGCAAAGACATGGAATCAACTTAAATGCTCATAAATGATAGACTGGATGAAGGAAATGTGGTAGACACCATGGAATACTATGAAGCCATGACAAAAAAAAATGAGATCATGTCCTCTGGAGGGACACAGATGGAGCTGGAGGCCATTATCCTTGGCAAACTAACACAGGAACAGAAAACCAAATACCACATGTTCTCACTTATAAGTGGGAGCTAAATGATGAGAACGCATGGACACATAGAGGGGAACAACATACACTGGGGTCTAATTTAACTTAAAAGTTAAATTAAAAAATAAATAAAATAAAATAGGGCCGTACTGGTTGGCATAGGAATCTCACTTTGAGAATTTATTTTACAAAGTTAAAAAACACAAGGTCAGGTGCAGTGGCTCACACTACACTTCGGGAGGCCAAAGTGGGTGGATCACTTGAGCTCAAGAGTTCAAGACCAGCCTGCACAACATGACAAAACCCTGTCTCTATAAAAAATGCAGAAATTACCCAAGCATAGTGGTGCATGCCTGTGGTCCCAGCTACTGAGGAGGCTGAGGTGGAAGGATCACCTGAGCTCGAGAGGTGGAGGCTGTGGTCAGCCGTGATTGCACCACTGCATTTCAGCCTGGGCAACAGAATGAGACCCTGTCTTACACCATGTACAAATGTTTAGTGAAGCATTTTGGCAGTAGAAGCACCCTGGAAGCAGCCTATTAGCAGACCTTTGCCTGCACAACCTAAAGCCTGTGCATCTTGCAGACAGATGCCCAGCAAGGAGATAGTGGCACGAGCGTAGGATGTTTGAGAGGGTGCTTGTAGGCTTATGCATAACAGACCCCAGTGGCAACCCAAGAAGCAGCTCCCACTGCAGTGTGCTCACTGGGGTTCATGCTGTGCTTCAATACTAAGTCACCTCTGCCCACTTTGGAGGGGGCATGGGCTCAAGAGAGGCGCTGGTGGCCGGGCGCGGTGGCTCACGCCTGTAATCCCAGCACTTTGGGAGGCCGAGGCGGGCGGATCACGAGGTCAGGAGATCGAGACCATCCCGGCTAAAACGGTGAAACCCCGTCTCTACTAAAAATACAAAAAATTAGCCGGGCGTAGTGGCGGGCGCCTGTAGTCCCAGCTACTTGGGAGGCTGAGGCAGGAGAATTGCGTGAACCCGGGAGGCGGAGCTTGCAGTGAGCCGAGATCCCGCCACTGCACTCCAGCCTGGGCGACAGAGCGAGACTCCGTCTCAAAAAAAAAAAAAAAAAAAAAAGAGAGAGAGGCGCTGGTCCCCACCACATCTGCCACACCCGAGTTACCTGCCTGGACCCTGTAGTCACTTCAGCATGACCCCTGGTGGATGGCATGCCGGGGGTTTGTAAAATCAAACCACAAATGATGCTTTTAATATACACATTTGCTTATATAGACTCGTGTGATTATGGGGAAAGATACAATAAGAATGAAGACTAGAGACAGCCAACATTGTTTTTCTACCTTTTGTCTCTTTTTTCTGGTTTTGGTAAAGACATTTTATATTCATAATTTGTGAAATTTTAGTAAAAGAGCTATAGTAAAAAAAAAAGTCAAAGGGAAGGGTTTATTTAAGAGGATTGAATACACAAGACAAAAATTTTTGTTGGGAAAAATTCTCTTCATGCTACTTGGACATTTTCTCTTACAAGTGACTCAAAATCAGCTAATAAAAGCCTACTTAATAAAACATAAAATCCAATTCATAATACACCTTTTATCAAACTCTAAAAAGATGAGAACTACCTCAACTTTATCAAACATCTATGAGAAACCTACAGCAAATATCTTGCTTAATGGTGAAATGTTTAAAATATTCCCGTTAAAGCCCGGAGGAAGCTAAAGACAAAGCCATCTAATTACTGATTCCTTATTTAGCACCGTAAGTATGTCACACTCTCCTTGTTTATATTAACCCCCCATGCCTTTTGTTTGAACTATCAAATTTTCTTTGATCCCCCTTTTCCTTAATCTGTTCAAAATTTTACATTCTATTCCAACTCATGTCGTGGTTCCCAATGGAGACACACACTTCAACTTATAAACGTGTCAGAGTCTAGAATTTCGTTGTTCTCTTATATTCAGCCTGTATGTCATCTCCAGGAACTAGACAAGAACTTTAATAATGTCTAGTTCCTTCTGAAGTCCCCCATGCCCCAAATGTCTATGTCAAAGTCTTCTGGAATTTTAATTCCAGATCACCCATCTTTCTTCCAGAATCTTACTTATCTAGACTTAATAATATAGCTAACTAATTTCCTTGCTTTCCGATTCTTCTTGCATCCCACTTCTAGGTTTTTTGGGTTTTTTTCCCTGGCTGAAAAACATTATTCATACTTTCGCTGTACATAACAGCTGAATTCAAACTGCCCTGAACAGAAAAGGGGTTTAGTAGCTTGCACACTATAAGTTGTGTACTCTAAGTTCAGGGGAAGCTCAGGCTTCAGGTCCAGTCTGAGTAGGAGTCTCACTTTTTCTCCTTTTTCTGTAGGCCCTTTCTCTCTTCATGTGGCCTTGCCCTTGAGCTGACACTTCTTGCCTCCTCCACTCCCAAAACATTTGACTGATCATAGAATTCTAGATTCAGAGTTACTTCCCTCTTGAAGCTCTAAGGATGTTGCACCATTGCTTTCCAGTCATTGATGCTGCCATGCAAAATCTACTGTAAGCCTAATTCTGCTTTCCATGCAGGTCTCAGCTCTCAGGCAGCTTTTGGAATGTTCTCTCTACCATACTTCATACTCCCAAAGGGTGTTATTCTTGTAGCCCGCTCAGGATTCACATCTTTCTTTCATCGGGAGAATTCATATAGCCAAAATTTCCTCGTATTTTGCTGTCATCCAAATGTTCAGGCTTTCCATGTTAGATGACCTCTGGATCCTGTGGATGATGGATCCTGTGGGTCCTCAGGATGATGGATCCTGGGGGAGCTCCACATTAGATGACCTCTGGATCCTCAGGACAACTGATCACAGAAGAGCTCCAAGTTAGATGACCTCTGATCCTCAGGACGATGGATTGTGAGGGAGCTCCACGTCACATGACATGTGTCTCCTCAGGATGACAAATCCCAGCAGAGTTCCACATTAGATGACCTCTGGATACTCAGGATGATGGATCCCGAGGGAGCTCCATGTTAGATGACCTCTGATCCTCAGGACGACAGATTGTGAGGGAGCTCCACGTTACATGATGTGTGGATCCACAGATAACGGATCTCAGGGGAGCTCCATGATAGATGACCTCTAGATACTCAGGACGACGGTTCCCAGGGAAGTTCCACATTAGATGACTTCTCATCTTCAGGATGATGGATCCTGGGGGGAACTCCATGTTAGGTGACCTGTGGATCCTCAGGATGACAGATCCTGGGAGAGCTCCACGTTAGATGCCTGTGGATCCTCAGGACAATGGATCCGGAAGGAGCTCCATGTTAAATGACCTGAGTATCCTCTGTATGATGGATCCCAGGGGAGCTTCATGTTAGATGAATCCTAAGATGAGATGCGGATCTTCAGGATGATGGATTGCAGGAGAGCTCCATTTCTGATGACCTGTGGATCCTCAGGATGATGGATCCTGGGAGAGCTCTATGTTAGATGGCCTGAGAATCCTCAGGATGATGGATCCTGGGAGAGCTCCATGTTAGATGACCTGTGGATCCTTAGGACAATGGATCCTGTAAGAGAGCCACATTACATGGCCTGTGGATCCTCAGGACAATGGATCCCAGAAGAACTCCACATTACATGACCTGTGGATCCTCAGGACAATGGATCCTGGGAGAATTCCATGTTACGTGACATCTGATCCCCAGGATGATGGATCCCTGGGGAGCTCCACGTTAGATCATCTGTGGATCCTCAGGACAATGGATCCCATGAGAGCTCCATGGATGACTGCTCTGTCACACTGTCCATCTCTCTCTTGCCCAAATATCTAGTTTTTATTCCTCAGTCCTATCTATTCTGTGATTCAAACCATCAACATTAACTTTGGATTCCAACAACCTTGTTTTTCATCCCAAGTATCTTTAATTGGCTTTTAATATAAGCACATTAAAAGGACTCAGAGAGCTGCTGGTTTATTTGAATAAGCATTGAGGAACTCCATGCATGTGTATTTTTGACAGAACATACAAAGCGGAGGCAAGAGGGGAATTGGAAGCAGATGGACTACTGTCAGGATCCTGGGAGGAGGACTTGGAGGCTCATGACAACACAAAGTAAGGGCTCTGACTGGGATGGGCAGGGAGGAGTGGAGCAGAAATGGGGCTAGAGTTTGGGGATAGGGGGAAAGACCAGGTGGAAGAAAAGAAGGCTGGCAGCAATACGGATGACAGAGGTTAGTGTGCAGAGTGGGCAGGGAACACTGGGACACTCTGCACGATGGTGCTATTAGAGGTCTGCACGATGCACAAAGTAGATGAGCCACCCGGAGGCCTGAAACTGAGGGAGGGAGAGGGGGCCAACATGGTCTGCCTGGCCACAGCCACAGGCCCAGGAGCAGGAGGTGGCTCCTGAAGCCCCACCTCAGGCTGGGCTGCATGGGGGCCGGGGCCTTCCTGCACAATTCCAGGCATAAGAGCTGCTTCAGTAAAAGAGAAGGCTGGGGTCTGCCTGGCTTCCAGTTGCCCCTGGTAGCCTAGCTCTCCATGGTCATTCAGATGGACTAGGTACATGCCTGGCCCCACTCTCTCGCCCAGGGCCCTGAGAAGCCCAGCCCCACTGCCGCGGCCTCGACCTGCCCGCCAGCTTCCTCCCCCACGCTGGCCTCTTCCTGCAGGAGGAGCTGGCTGTGCGCGAGCTGGGGGCTCCCGTCTCATGGGTTTCACATAAGCAGTGGGTTTTGCCGGTTGGACTGGGTCTACAGGGTCTTCACGGTCCACACCAGAGCAGCCTGGCTCTGTAGGAGGCCCACCTGAAGCTAAAAGAGAAGCAGAGTGTAAGGAGATGGAGTAGGGGCTGCCCAGGAAGCCTTCAGGAAGGGAGACCAGGAGAGGGGTTCAGGGAGGGCCCAGGGGAACCCGGGCAAACAGAGTGAGGGTCGGGAGATGCCTGCAGGGTGAGCCCTCAGGAGCACTCTGTCCAAGGGCCTAGCCTGGGCTCAGCACTTTCCATGAGCCTCTCAAGTCCTTGCAATGACCTTGTCAGTCAGATATTATGATTGCCATTTTACTAATAAGTAAATGAGTCTACAGTTCCCTACAGTGGCTGAGTTTGAATAAAAATGACACACTGCCTGCCTTCACTGTGTTTAAACCTCAGTAGGAGAGACAAACAGAACACCTAAAAATGAATGATGCTAATGAGTGACCAGCTGGGAGGTGAAAGGTATCATAAGGGAGGTGGCTCCATATCCAGAATGCTGGCGTTGTATTCCCAGGCAGCTTCACTTATCTGGGCATCAGTGGCCCTTTTCATAAATTAGTATAATAACATGCCAACCCCTGGGTCCTTACAAGAACTGAGTTACTACAAGAAAAATGTTTACATTACTATCAGGTGCAAGTAAGCATCTTAACATGTATTGGGAAGGAGATGATCAGAAAGTCTTATTGGAGAAGTTAACCTAAGCCAGGGATATCAAGGATGGGTGGGATTTAGCAAGGCAAAGGCGGGAGAGGATTAGTAGGGATAGCAGGGAGGGAGAGGATTCCAGGTGACAGGGGGGCCGGGGGTAGTTGCATGGCTTCCAGGAGGAAAAAAGCCTGGGGTAGCTATAAGCTAGTTTGGCAGGGAGGGGAGGCGTTCACACAGATACATGATTGAGCAATGGAACAGAACAGGAAGTCCGAAACTAGACAAACGTCTACAGAAATTTTATCAATGACAGAGTAGGCATTGAAGATCATCTGAAGATCCTTCCCTGGGAAACCTGTGTAGCCTAAGAAAAAGTCCCAAGAAACTGACATCTAAGGTTGCCCAATTTCATAGCCCAACCATATCTATTCTGTGGAACCCAATCAACAAGCCCCATCCACGAGCTTGGAGCTCCCAACAGCTTCTTCTGGGTCCCATTTTTAAACTATAAGCAGCAATCAGATATCACCAAACATCAGAGGAAAGGCTCTAACATAAGAGACAGAACAATAACACAAGAAAAGCCAACTTGGAGGAAACAGTTTATGCCACAGATGAGACTTTCCAAAAACATCTATAATTAATATCCCCAGAGAGATAGAAGGAATTATGCCCATGAATCAATTATAGGGTACTTTTGAAAAGGAATATTCAGAAAAACTACAGCTTTTTGAAATTAAAATTATGAGAGCAGAAATGAAAATCTCCATGGAAATTTTGGAGGATAAAGTTGAGAAGATCTCCCAGGAAAGAGAGCAAAAACCCACAATGATGGAAAGGAAGGAAGATAAAATATAAGAAAATTAGAAGTGTATTGTTACTGAGACACATCCCCATAAAATTCCAGAGTGCTGGTGACAACGAAAGATCTTAAAATCTTCCAGAGAGGGAGAAAGAGAAAGGGAAGAAAGGCCATATGGAAAGGGTCAGGATTCAACATGTCTCAAAAATCAGACACCTCAAAAGCAGCAATTAAATCTAGAAGATTATAGAAAATGCCTTCAAAATTTCGAGGGAAATGGATTTCCCACCCAAAATTTGATATCCAACCAAAGTATCCCTTAGGAATCAGAATGAAGATGTTTGCAGACAAGCAAGATCTTAAATAATTTCCCTTCAAGGCATGCTTTCTTGTAATGTGCCTATCAAACTAGACAAGATTAAAAGATTTAGGACAGTGTATGAAGGGAAATGTTTTCAAGAATAATTTGGCAATGGCCATCAAATTCCAATACCTCCAGAAAAGAACAAGGTGAGAGTCCTGGCTTATCATACGTAGATCGAGACATAGTGTAAGGACTCACTCTTCCAAAGAGAAAAAGTAAAATAAGAAAGAAAAAGACACCAGATAAAGGAAATGGGTTAAAATTCAAAAGAGGAAAAGGAATTTCCCAGATGATGTGGAAGGGAGATCCTGGAGTGGCAGCTGGGAGGTGACTCAGAGCAGCCAGTCCCGGTTGGAGCAGGCTATGAGAAAGTGAAACTGAGAGAACGCTTGATTGAGTTTGAATTTAAGTAATTGGGGAAGAATTGAGGGATAGACTCGTGATAAGTAAACACATAATAACCCAGGAGAAGTGTCAAGTCCTGGAAAACTCAAGTTATGCAAGAGGTGCAAAGTAATCCTAGTGTCCTACTGGCTCCTGGGCGGTGGGGGAGGGGCAGAGGGTGTGGGCCCTGGGATGGGTGTGGCTGGGTGAGTGGTGGTGGTGGTGGGAATCTGTGAACTACAGCTAAATACTCCACTACTCTAGCGGGAAGACCATAAATAAAGTCTAAACGGAAAAAGAAATAGCAGTAGGGTACGCATGTTATTTAAAGAATGAGAGGAAATGCTAGAAGAAATGGCTACCCAGATGGAGGTGGTGGTCCCAAAGGTGTGGGAGATTGAGAAGGAGCATGGGCTGCTGCATTTCATAACATGTCACATTTGCATATCTAAGTTCTATAAGTCAATACCAAAGGTAAAGTAAAAATCTGGAAAAAATTAAAAAGAGTGGTAGGCGTTTGATGGTACCTTGATTTGGGGCCAGGAAGCGAGGTCGTTTCGAGTGCCTTGGTTCCTCCATGAGGAATCTGCGGGAGTGGGTGGGGAGGAAAACGCGTCTGTCAGGGTATTAAACCACAGCCTAATTTCCCAAGCGTCACGCAGCGATGCGGACCCCACCTCACCCCCTCCTACAGGGCCACTGCCGCTCGCGGGTCTCAGAGCATTTGCACTGAGCCCGCGGGGCGCAGCCAGGGGGATCCTGTGAAGGTGGGAGTTGGGGTGGGGGGAGACTTCCGCATTTTAAAGGATTTCCAAGTGGAGCCAGTAGCAAGCGGGGATTGGCCTAGAGGCAGCTTGATTAACTTATCCCAGTTTCTTCAGGCAAAGCTGGTACCGGGGAGACTTAGGCCTCCTGGAGGAATGATCCCTCCTTAGCGGAAGAGAGAAAAAAGATGGAGGATGGGGAACAGAGTTGCGAAGAAGACAGCGGTGACAAGGCATGTGGCCTCGGCCTTCTAGAGCACTGAGGATTCTGTCCCCACCTGTACCCACGCAAACTCTACCCACCCCTCAGGGACACCCAGACACACACCTGATCTCCCTGCAGCTGGCTCTCTTCTATGGGGAGAGGCCTGAGGAGCTGGAGGTGTCCACGGGATCACGGCTATGGCTCCGACGTCGCCCTCAAATGCGCCCCCTACCAGGCAGGTAGGAGGGAGCACCCAGCAGTCCTAGTTCGGAGCCCGGCAGAAAGCTGACTGCTCGCGGTTACGAGAGCTCCCTCTTATAAGGCGGTGAGGCCGTCACGTGATGGGAGTGGTAAGGGGCGGGGCCAGCTGGGGCAGGCCTGACTGGGCTTGGAAGGCCATTGGGCCAGTCCTTTGCTTGTCAAATAAAGCCCACCGAGAAGCCCCTGTGCATAAATGTCAATGGTTGATTGATCAATCTAATCGTTGAGGAAAAAAAATTCATAATTACAATTAAGTGCCAGCAAAAGGGAGGTGTGGTGCCGTGAGAGTAGCGAATAGGAAGATTTGATTTAATTAGATCTGAGCATGGTGAAGGAAAGCATGGGGGGGGATATTTGCGCTGAAGTCTGGAATTTGGAATTTGAAATTAGTCGACGTGAACCTGGCTGGGAAGGGCAGGGAGGGAGGCAGGGGAGTGAAGAAGGGGCGCTGAGGCCCGGACTGGAAGGGAGCCCAGCCCATGCCGGGAATGGAGGGGGAGACCAGGCCCAGGCCCCGGGTGTGTGAGGTGGGGGCGGGGGCCGCAGGAGCTGGTCTTCTTCCGGGAAACCACCAAATGGTGTCCTGAGCGGGTGAACATTTCAAAAACGGTCAGCCTGGCTGTGAAGGAGAGAATTCAGGGTGCCCAGGTTAACTCCGAGACGCAAAGAGGCTACGCAGCCCTAGGGGCTGGGCACAGGATCGTGTTAGGCTAGGACTGTGGGCGGCAAAGGTGGAGAACGTTCCCCGGGAGGGAGAGAAATCTGCAAGTGAAAGTGAGCCGAGTGTGAACAGCCCTTGGAGGGAAGGAGCCTGCAGCCTTGGCCTCCCGTTCCTTCAGACGAAGGTGGACCAGGAACCTGCGCTGAGTGTAAGATGGGGAGCTTGGCTTCTGCACGTTGGGTTGAAGAAGCTTTTGAGGCACCAAGTGAGGATGTCAACTGGCCTTTTGTAAAAAGGGTCTGGAGCTCAGAGAGATGGCGATGGGGCTGGAGATACGTGTAAGACACACACCTCGTGCGTTTACTGCTGTGGGTACATACACAGGCACACAGGAGGAGGAAGAGAGTAGGAAACACTCCAGGACAGAAGAGGGCGCCTGCAGAGGGTTGGTTAGTTGGTTTGCTTGTTTGTTTCTTAAAGAGCTGGAGTCTCCCTCTGTCGCCCAGGCTGGAGTGCCGTGGTGCAATCTTGGCTCACTGCAACCTCCGCCTTCCGGGTTGAAGCGATTCTCCTGTCTCAGCCTCCCGAGTAGCTGGGACCACAGGTTCGCACCACCGCACCCGGCTAATTTTTGTACTTTTTGTAGAGATGGGGTTTGCCATGTGCCCAGGCTGGTCTTGAACTCCTAAGCTCAAGCAATACTTTCACCTCAGCCTCCCGAGTAGCTGGGACCACAGGCTAACGCCACCACTCCTGCTAATTGGGTGATGGTGTTGTCGTCGAGACAAAGTTTCGCTGTGATGTCCGGGGTTAATCTCAAACTCCTAGCCTCAAGCAATCCTCCCGCCTGGGCCTCCTAAGTGACTGGGATTACAGGCATAAGCCTCCACACCCTGCTCCCATAATGCTGTTTTAAAAATCCAGGCCAGGCACGGTGTCTCATGCCTGTAATCCCAGAACTTTGGGAGATGGAGGTTAGAGGATTACTTGAGTTCAGGAGTTTGACACCAGCCTGGGCAACGTAGCAAGGCCCCATCTCTACCAAAAAAAAAAAAAAAAATTTTACCCGTGTGTGGTGGCACTTGCCTGTGGTCCATCCACTAGGAAAGCTGAGGTGGGAGGATTGCTTGAGCCAGGGAGGGTAAGGCTGCAGTGAGCCAAGATTGCACCACTGCATTCCAGCCTGGGATGCAGAGTCAGACCCTGTCTCAAAAATATATATATATATATATATATATAGCATACAGTACACCCCCTTTTCTGCCGGGTTTCTCTTGCTTGACATAATGTTGTTGAAGTCCATCTATGTTGTAGAATGCATAAGTCATTCATTCCTTTTCATTGCTGAGTGGTGTCTCATTGCATTAATAGACCGCAGTTTATTTATCCAGTCATTACTAGCTGATGGACATTGATTGGGTTGTTTCCAGTTTGGGACTATAATGAAGAAAACTGCTAAGAACACTCATGTACAAGACTTTGGATAGACATATGCTTTCATTTTACTTGGGCAAATATCTACAAGTGAAATTTCTGGGTCAAATAATCAAGTTTTTTTTTAGATTTATAAAAAATTATCAAATTGCTTTCCTATTAGTTGTGGGATTTTACATACCTTCCCAAAGTGTGTGAGGGTTTTAGGCATTCCCACATCCCTGCCAACACTTGATATTGCTGATCCTTTTCCTTTAAGCCACTCTAGTGTCTGTGGAGTGGTGTCTCATAGTGGTTTCAACTTGCATTCCCTTGTTGACTAATGTTATGCTTAATGGATTCTTAAAAATAAGTGGTTTTATTTTAGAATAGTTTTAGACTCACAGAAAAGTTGAAAAAAACACAGAGAGTTCTCTTACAACCCACACAAAATTTATCGTTCCTGGCATCTTACATTAGCATGGTATATTTGTCATAATTAATTATTATGGAAATAGCAATTATTGATACATTAACCAATACTGATACATCGTTATTAACTAAAGTCTATGTTTGGTCTATCCTCGGTCTTGACATACCTTTTCTGTCTCAGGACCCCATCCAGGGTACCACATTACAATTAGTAATGGCTCCTCTTAGGTGCAAGGGTTTCTCAGGCTTGCCTTGTTTTTGATGACCTTGACACTTTGATTACTGGTCAGGTATACTGTAAGACGTCCTCTCCTGAAATTCATCTGATGTGTTCCTCACGATCCTACTGGAATAGTGTGTTTTTGTAAGGAAGATTGCCGAGGGAAAGAACTATTCCCATCCCATCCTGTCTAGGGTGCACACTATCAGCATGGCTTATCACTGCTGGTATTCGTCCTGGTCACCTGGCTGGGACAGTGTTGGTTAGGTTTCTCCACCATAAAGTAATTTTCCCCTCTCTTTCTCTGCTGCATTTTTTGGGAGTCACTATCTGTAGCCTACACTTTAAAAAAGGGAAAGTACGCTTATCTCCTTGCAGGAGAATGGCTACCTAAATTATTTGGAGTTCTCCTGTGTGGGGGATTTGTCTATTCTTCCCCATGTATTTATTTATATAATCATTTATTTATATCAGTATGGACTCATGGATATCTGTTGTATACTTTGGATTATAATCCAATTCTTCATGGGATTAATTATTTAATAATTTAGCTAATTATTTTATTAAATATTTTCATTACATATTTAATTATTAATTATTTAGTTAATTATTTTGTTACTCAAAGTTTCCAGCTTTGGCCATTGGGAGCTCCTTCAGTTGGCTGCTGGGTCCTTTTGTCACACCCTGATACGGTTTTGCTGTGTCCCCACCTAAATCTCATATTGAATTGTAGCTCCCATAATTCCCATGTGTTGTGGGAGGGACCCAGTGGGAGATAATTGAATCATGGGGGCTCTTTCTCCCATACTGTTCTCATGGTAGTGAATAAGTCTCATGAGAGCTGATGATTTTATAAGGGGTTTCCCCTTTCACTTGATTTTTTTTTCATTCTCTCTTGTCTGCCTCCATGTAAGACATGCCTTTTGCCTTCTGCCATGATTGTGAGGCCTCCCCAGTCACAAGGAACTGAGAGTCCAGTAAACCTCTTTTTCTTTATAAATTACTAAGTCTCAGGTATGTCTTTATCAACAGTGTGAGAACTGACTAATACATGCCCCATCACTGTGACTTTTGGTTTGGTTTGGGGCCCCTCCTTGCTCCCTGGCACCACAGGATGTTCTGTGCTCATTTGCATATTCTTATCCTTATTGGGCTTTCATGTTCTCACTGACCACAGCCATAGATACTTTTGTGAAGTTTCTGTTCAAAACTTTTACCCTTTTTATTGGGTTGACTTTCTATTCTTGAGTTGTAAGAGTTCTTTGTGTGTTATGGATACAGGTCTTTGATGAATATATGTATTGAGTGTGAATGTATTCTCCCAGTCTGTGTCTTGCCTTTTCATTTTCTTAACAGTGTCTTGAAATAACAGATTTTAATTTTAATGAGGCCCAGTATCTCAAGTTGGGATTCCCAGGAAGCCAACTCTGAGATGGAAATTAGAATGCAGAAGGTGTATGAGGTGTGCCTTCTAGGGATGTAGAAGGGAAAGAGGCAGGCCCACTCAGCCTCAATGCTGTGCCTCAGTAGACCCTGTGGGATGTTCTGGTGGTAAGGTGACCTGCTAAAGCTGTTCTGAGTTGGGGCAACAGGGCCAGGCCTTGATGTCCCCATTGAATGTCGCTGGATGCAAGATGCCTGAAGGATGAGTGTGCCCATGGGTAAGGGTCAGGGGAGTCCCTTCAGCCAAGGCAGTTCCTTAGGGTCCATCTGCAAGGGCTGAGGGCTGTCTGCTGGTGGCAATTCTCACAGCTGAGGTCACAAATACTTAATTTCTGAAGAAAGGTCTAGCAGCAAATCACAGTGCCCATTGCAAAAAATGCATCAATGTTTTCTTGTACAATTCATGTTTTTTGCGTCCCATCTAAGGAATCTTTGCCTACTCCAAAGTCATATACAGTTTTCCTATATTTTCTTCTAGAAGTTTTATAGTTTTAGCTTTCACCTTTAGGTTAACAACCATTTTTGTTAATTTTTGTGTAGAGTGTGAAGTAAGGGTTGAGATTTATATTTTTAATTATGGGCGTCCAGTTTGTTCCAACACCATTGGTTAAAATCAATGCTGTTTTTTTTTTCTTTATTGGAATTGGATGAAATGTTTTAAATTTTATATGGAGAATTAAATTTCAGAGGAAAAAAGTTGTGAAAAAGAACAATAGTGAGTTGAGCCTTTCCCAGCTATTAAAATAGTATGGTATTGGCAAAGGAACAGGTGAATTAGTTGATGAGAATAGGTCAGAAACATATAACAGCTAACAATAATAGCTAACATCTATTGGACGCTGCCATGTGCCAGGCATTGTCCCCAGTCCTTTTCACATATTCATGCATTCAATCCTCCCAGCAACTTTAGTGTGTAGGTAATACTGTTATTCTCATTTTACAAAGGAAGAAACAGGGGTACTGGGTGCTTGAGTGGCTTATCCACAGTCACCCAGCTACTGTGGGGCAGAATCAGGATTTTAACCTGACTGTTATTCAAGAGCTCCAAGTCTTTTTTTTTTTTAATTTTTAGTATTTATTGATCATTCTTCGGTGTTTCTCGGAGAGGGGGATTTGGCAGGGTCATAGGACAATAGTGGAGAGAAGGTCAGCAGATAAACAAGTGAACAAAGGTCTCTGGTTTTCCTAGGCAGAGGACTCTGCGGCCTTCCACAGTGTTTGTGTCCCTGGGTACTTGAGATTAGGGAGTGGTGATGACTCTTAACGAGCATGCTGCCTTCAAGCATCTGTTTAACAAAGCACATCTTGCACCGCCCTTAATCCATTTAACCCTGAGTGGACACAGCACATGTTTCAGAGAGCACGGGGTTGGGGGTAAGGTTATAGATTAACAGCATCCCAAGGCAGAAGAATTTTTCTTAGTACAGAACGAAATGGAGTCTCCTATGTCTACTTCTTTCTACACAGACACAGTAACAATCTGATCTCTCTTTCTTTTCCCCACATTTCCCCCTTTTCTATTCGACAAAACCGCCATCGTCATCATGGCCCGTTCTCAATGAGCTGTTGAGTACAGCTCCCAGACTGGGTGGCGGCCGGGCAGAGGGGCTCCTCACTTCTCAGACGTGGCTGCCAGGCAGAGGCGCCCCCCACCTCCCGGACGGGGCGGCTGCCGGTTGGGGGCGCCCCCCACCTCCCAGACAGGGCGGCTGCCGGGTGGGGACGCCCCCCAAGTCTTAACCTATGCATTATATTGCTTCTGTCCATAAGGGAACTCAGTATCAGACCAAGACCATATTTTGATTCAGTGATAAAACATGTATACTAGTTTCCCATTGCTGCTGTAACAAATTGCTGCCAACTTAGTGACTTAACACAAATTTATTATTTTACAGCACTGGAGGTCAGAAGTCCAAAATATGTCTTACAAGGCTAAAATCAAGGTATCAGTGAGGCTGAGTTTCCTCTGGAGGATCCAGGGGAGAATCCGTTTTCTTGCCTTTTCCAGCTACTAGAAGCTGCCTTCATTCATTGGCTCACAGCCCCTCCCTCCTTCTTTGAAGACCCCAATGTAACAAAAATACCCTCGAGGTCCCCAGTGCTGAACAACTGGGAGATAAGGAGGATGGAAATGAAGAGGCATTGGGGGTAAGTGTGTTTCACGGATTGTAATAAAATTGTTTTCTCCTCCTGTTTTTGAAAAATAATTTCTTAAAAAGTTTTTTCTTCTATTAATTTTTGTGAACCATTTCAAGAAAAGCTGCCTGTTATGAAAAAATTCAAACATTTCTACAGAAAAGTAGACAGGAGAGCGTGATACCTCCCTCATGTACCCATTATTCAGCCTCAACAGGTACCAAAACTTGGCCCATCTTACTTCATCTGTGCTCTACCCACTCCCTCAACATTGGATTATTTTGAAGCAAATCCCAGGCACAATGCCACTGAGACCATAAATATTTCAGTAAGTATTTAAAAGGTAAGGACTCTTCTTAAAAATCATAATCACAATAAGAATGTTTAAGTAAAATAAAAGAAATAAAGAGGATCCCATTAAGAGAATGGGATTGAATATATGAGGCTGAGAAAGATGAAATGATTAGGTTCTGAGAAGAGAAGGCAGGGATAATGAGAGAAGGCAGGGATAATGAGAGAAGGCAGGGATAATGAGAGAAGCAGGGTTGGAGGGATTGGTTTTAGACAAAAGGAGGGGACACTATGGTAACAGTGAGGAAGGAGAAGATGTATGTAGTGCGTTTGTGTATGTTGTGCCTCTATGACAGAATATCTGAGACTGAGCAATGTGTAAAGAATAAAGATTTATTTCTTACAAAGTAGCAGGCAAAAGCTGGGTAACTGGCACTTGCTGTCACAACAGAACCCTTCTCCTCCCATCCCAGTTGCTTTCCTCAGTCCGAGTTTACTTCTCCTTCATGTAAGGTTGATGTGGGTTTGGCAGCCTCTGCCACCTGGAACATAACACCCCCATTTCACTCTCACTCCTGTTTCATTGGCCAGCTCCAGGCACCTGGCCTCAACCTAAGTTCAGGTGAGGCTGGGAATGTGGAGGAGCACCTGGATACCAGGTGGGGGCCAACTTTCTATCCTACAGGAGGTTTGTACTGGAAGACTGTTCTGGAACATTTAGCCACTTTAATAAAACACACAAAAAAGGTATTTTTTTTTAAAGCAAATGTATCATAATCATTTAGGGAGGTAACATGGAGTAGGCATTAACTGTGCAGACTCAGAGTGGCTGTACCCAGGCTGCAAACCCCGTGTCCCACTCACGGTACATGACCTTGGGCAAGTCACCTAACAGCTCCAAGCCTTCATTCCTCCACCTGCAGAGTGGAGACTCGTAATAGCACAGAGATTTATCTGAGGATAATTTGAAAAATAGGTGAAATAATGAAACAATGATGGATAATATTGTTTGTAGGAAAACAATAAATTTTAATTATTATTTTTATAAACTTATTCAAGTGATATTGTCTATCTGAAAAATCCAAGAATAAGATAATTAAGAAAAGTCTTGATTACAAATTTAAATGGAAAAAGCTAAGTTATTTCCTATATACAATCAAAAACCAACACCATGGCAGAACGTAGACTACAAACACACACACATACATAGAAATGCTGGAAAATGTATAAATATAGAACTGACCTTGAAAGACAAAAATAACTGATATAATGGTGACCTTATAAACATTGGCTCAGAATGGAGACTTGTCCTTGTACCCCCACATTTGAGAGCCAGAAGTGAGACTTCAGTTACAAACTGGGATCCTGGAAGAACTGCCCGTTGGTGAAAAAGGGAACTAAAATGAATCTTCCCAGCAGCCCAGAGAAGCAACAAAGAGGCTGAGGTCTACTTAAGCTCTGGGTAAAAGAATCCTAGGTTCCTAAGCAGGGTGTGGAATCCCAATTTATACTAACCATATGTTGCCAAAATCTCAAAGACAAGATATCAATTTTTAAAAATCTTATCCAGCATCTGTTAAATTTATGAGGATAAGTAGCTGAGGAAAACAAAAATTTTCTCTCTAGCAATACTTCCACAGCACAGAACATGAGAATTCCCAAAGGAAAAAGTCCTCAGTAAAGATGAGCTCATAAGTAAAAACTACAAATCCCAGACCCAATATTGCTTTATCTATACCCCACCCACTCCCTCAACACCCGATCCTTGGAAGCAAACCCTAGGCATCATGCCATTTCAATAATAAATATTTCAATACACATCTCCAGAAGATAAGGACTCCCATATGAACGATAACGAAGTGAGTCTCTGAGTGGAAGAGTAGGCTAAAAAAAGGAAGAGAAGGATTAGCATATCAAGAAATTTAAATAACAAGTATAAAGCCAATATGCTTAAAATTATTAACAAGATAAAATAAGGAATAAAATGCATAAGCATGAACAGGAAAATATGAAAACAAACAAAACATGTAGATTTTGAAATGAAGCAAATACAACTTCTTGAAGTAAATATAAACATAAAAATTTAAATTTTAAGTGGCCTAGCACTTTGGAAGGCCAAGGTGGGAGAATCATTTGAGTCCAGAAGTGTGAGACTAGCTTGGGAAACATAGTGAGATCCCATCTCTATTTTAAAAATTTAAAAGAATAAAAAAAATTAGTTGGACATGGTGGCACATGCCTGTAGTCTCAGCAACATGAGAGGCTTGAGCCCAGAAGTTCGAGGCTGCAGTGAGCTATGATTGCGCCATTGCACTCCAGCCTGGGTAACAACAAGACCCTGCCTTAAAAATATTTAAATTAAATTAAATTAATATGACATAGCTTAAAGGTAAAGAATTCAAACGTAGTGCAAATGGATAGACACAGAGATGGAATATATGAAAGAGAGGTTAGGAGACAAACATGAGGGAGGTTCTAAAGGCATCCAACATACACTTAAGAGGAGGGAGAAGAGGCACATCCACAGAGGGCGCAGCTGAACATGCTCTGGAATCGAGCTAAGACTTGAATGCTAAGATGGAAGAATTAAAAAACTGCAAGCAGGCCAAGAATAAATAACTTGACACCCAAACATTATACGAGTACAACTGCCAAAAACAAAAGGCAAAGAGAGAAAGCATAAAAGCAACTGGACAAAAAAGAGACATTATATAAAACACCTAACAGCCTGGCAGAGCCCTCTCGCTGGCAGCCCTGGAGGAAAGAAGGCAGTGGAACAATGCCCTCAGAGTGGAAGAGCCCATCAAGGCAGAATTCCATACCCAGCCAAACCGTCAGTACAGAAGATAAAAAAAAAAAATAGATTTCCTAAAAACCTGTGCAGAAAATGTATAGCTCCATCCAGATTTCTGCTAAACGAACTTCTAAAGGAAGCTGTTGTGTAGGGAAAAAAAAGAGTACCAAAGAAAGGCATGAGACACAAAAAGCAATGGTGAATAAACAACCAATAAACATATGCAAAATTCCAAGACAGCCTTCAGGACAAAAATAAATAAATAGTGACTATTGGAAGGGAAGCTCAAAAATCAGATGGAATGAAACCAAAGAACACAGTGGTGTGAGAGGTGTGGGGGAGAGGAATTGCCACACTCAAAGGCCAAGGCTCTTCAACCTTGCTGCACGTTAGAATCACTCGAGTAGCATTAGAAATCCCAGTGTCCAGGCTGTATTCCATACTAGTTAAATCGGAACCTCTGGGAGTGGGAGCCAGGAAGCAGGATCCTCTCGGGCAATACAATGTATAGCCAGGTTTAAAAACCAGTTGTCTAGGTTGGCAATGGCTTTCAACCTTGGCTGTCCTTGAAGTCACCTGAACAGTGTGAAAAAACAAGGATGCCTGGGCCCCACCCCAGAGATTCTGATGAAGTGTGGCCATGGAAAAAACCTCACAAGGAAAACACCAGCTCTGCTTCCTTTTATAGATTTCTTCACAAAAATAATGAACCACAAGCCATTCAGTACACATGAGCTACAGTTATTCTTGAATCATTCAGATTTCAATCTCTCGCTCCCACAGCCCGTGGTGCAGAAGCACTCGAGCTGTTGCCATGACCCTGGGTTCTGTTTAATGGTACAGGCCTCCTGTGAGGTCTGCTACCCACCAAGAAAATGATAAGGACTTGGAGAAAACAAGAAGAGCAGCTTTCAACCACTAGATGTGACAAACACAATAATTATATGTTTCCCCTTAAAAAAAAAACCACTTTAATATATCTTCAATATACAATGTGAAAAGTACTTAAATACTTTTCCTCTGAATCTTTTTCCCTGTAAAACTGGCAAGTGGCACACTGTCTTCTGGCTCTAGGTAAGATGTCAAATTAGCACAGGGTCACTGCTTCCAAAGATAGCCTCAGAGATACACCAATGCCAGAGGGAGGTCGATGGATTTCTCAAACCAACACTAAAAGCAGTGAGACCCCCTGGGGCCACTGGCTGTGGCTGGTGCTTGGAGAACTGGCAGAGAGATGGAGCACTGGCACTTTTGAGTAGAAGAGAGGGCAGGACCCTTTGCACAGGACAGAGGTGGAGGAGGAAGGCCCTTTGCCCAGGACAGAGGTGGAGGAGGAGTACTTTGGGGATAACTCTAGTCTCCCCACATTGCCTCAAGTAAGCCATAGCCTGCTGATCTCCACAGTAAGGCAGAAAGACAGCCATCAGCCAGAGAGGCGAATCTGGGATATACCAGGGACTCATGCAAATCAATGAGCAAAAGGCAGGACATTTATTCTTATTTATAAGTGGGAGCTAAATAATGTGTACACATGAGTGAAGTAATAGACCCCAGAGACTCAGAAAGGTGGGAGGGTGGACTGGGGGTGGGGGTGAGAAACTGTCTGGTGGGTACAATGTCATTGTTCAGGTGATGGCTACACTCAAAGCCCACCTGCACATTATGCAATATATCTACGTAACAAAACTACATCTGTGCCCTCTAAATCTATAAAAAATAATAAATAAATAAGATAACATAACAAGATAGCCAAAAAAGGCAGGAAATTCAATAGAACAATGAGCAAAAGATATGAAAGGGCTGTCCGTTGAAGAAGCTGGACTAGAGAAGAGGGAGCAGTGCTCAGCCTTTTCAGTAAGTAAATGAAAACACTGCATCCACAGGATGCAAAATATTCCTGTTCAATGGGCAAAATGAGGAAATTGGGTAATACACATGTTGGGGAGTACCAAGGTCATGGAAGCCCTGTGCACAGCTGGCCGTAATGTGCGCTGTGCATTTATTATGAAGAGGAAGCTGGTAGCACTCAGGAAATTAAGTATGAGTGGCCCTATGACCCAGCACTCACCCTCCTGAGTCAATCCTGGTGAAAGTCACACATACACAAGAAATGAGAACCAGAAAGTTCTTTCATCATAGTATCACATGTGGGACTGGGAAGGGTGAGGCAACCTCCATTGCTAGAGGAAGGGAGCGATCCACATGGTGGGCGCATTCTACGTGACACCGTACAGCAGCCCAAAGCCTTACACTAGAGCACATACAGCAACGTGGCTTCGTCTGAAGATGCGTATTGTTGGGCTAAAAAGGAAAGAAATACAATTAGACCTACTGGATATTAGCATTTATCTAAACTGAAAATATATACATGAAACAATACTGCCTATTTTTCAGAAGTACTTGCTTTTCTAAAGACATAAACCAAACACACTGGATTGGGTGCTGCTGGGGAGGTAAGGTCTGAATGAAGGATAAGGGGAAAACAAAAAAGAACCAGAAAGAACCTTGCATGGAGTGAGGATGAGAGCCGGCCATGATCTGAGGAGTGCGACCAACAGCCTTCTGCACCTCAGGCCACATTTAAAATTAAAATAAAACCGGATGCTTTTTGGATGACTCTATGCCTGATATGTCTGCAAATATGCCCATTCCTTCTTTTTTCAGTCCTTCAGAGCAGCCACCTTTATAGAGGCAAGCTCTCAAGCCTGTTTGGGGGTCAAGCATTCCATTTCCTTGCTCTGTTTTCGCATCAGAACTATATTGTTTTAAGGTTGTCCCTTTACATGTTTTAAAATCACTTATAGAAATTCACCCCCCAGCTTTGCTAATCCAATATTTACTTAGCTATTCCTCCTCTTTGGGAAATAACCTGCATAATTTTTGTGATCAGTTTTCCATTTTGGGAAAAAAATTACTGGGGATTTTGAATTATATTAAAATTAGTAAATTGGCTAAGAAAGAGTTGACATATAATTTTAAGTAAATTTTTAACTTGAGAATAGTTTCATATTTACAGAAAAATTGTAGAGCTATTACTGATGTTTGTTCCCCATACATTCAGTACCCAGTTCCCCATTACTAACATCTTAAATTAGTTACGATTACCTTGTATTTGTTACAATTAATGAACCAATAATGATAATTATTATTAACTACAGCCCATACTCCATTCAGATTTTCTTCGCTTTTATATGATGGCTTTCTTGCTGTCCCAGGATCCTATCGGGGTGCCACATTACAACTAGTCATCACGCCTCCTTCAGCTCCTCGTGGCTGTGACAGTTTCTCAGACGTTCTTTGCTTGTGATGACCTTGAGAGTTTTGAGGCATACTGGTCAGATATTTTGCAGGATGTCCTGCCATTGAGATTTGTCTGGTATTTTTCTCATGATTAGACTGAGATGAGGTGTGTTGGGGAGGAAGACCACAGAGGAAAATTGCCCTTCTCATCAAGGGCACCTGCTCTCAACATGACTCAAACCACTGCTAACATTGACTATGGTCACCTGGCAGAGTTAGGGTTTGTCAGGTTTCTCCACTGCAGTTACTCCTTTTTCCCCATTTCCACCATAATCTTCAGAAGGAAGATACTATGTGCAGCCCACACTTAAGGGGTGAAGGCTATGCCCTACCTCCCTGAGGGCAGAGTATCTAAATTATTTGGAATTCTTCTCTATAGATTTGTCTTTTCCCTTCCCCAACCCCACTGATTTCTTTATTCAATCATTTGCCTATATCAGTATGGATTTACGGGCATTTATTTTGCAACTCATTTGGGGGGGGTTATAACTTGATGCTACACTATTTATTTTGCCGTTCAAAGGTTCATTGGGAACTCTTTCAGGTAGTGCCCGTGTCCTTTTAAATACTCCCATCATCGTAGGGGTTTTGGTTTTGGATTTGGTATATTTCCTGCCCTAGTCCTAAAACCAGTCATTTTTCCAAGGAGCTTTGGTTCCTTTCATTGGAGATTATTAGAAACCAATACCTGGGCCCCAGCTGTGCTAGTTGGTGCTGGAGTGTCATTGCTTCGAGGTCTGCTCAGCTGACAGAACAAGGAAGAAGGTGTGTATACTAATCACACACATCTATCTATTGACCTATCGATCATCTATCTACATGTGTGTATCTCTATATATAACCAATTACATCTACATTAAGCTAAACCTAAGTTCATACTGATGTGTCCAATTCTAATCCATTGCCACATGGGTCATCCTAGCTTCCTCCCTTGCTTAACTGGAACCTCCCACTCCAAAAGTGAGAAACTTGGCTCCCACCATCCAATCCATTAACTTAGAAGTGTTCTACTGAATGCCAATGGGAAACAACTTTATCAATAGTCCCATGATTTTGTAAAGTTCCTTTTGCCCATAACCAGTTATAGAAATTCACCTCCCAGCTTTGCTTATCCAATATTTACTTAGCTATTCCTCCTCTTTTAAAAATAATCTGTATTATTTTTGTGATCAGTTTTTTTGGGGAAAAAACAATTTTACTGGAGATTTTGAATTACATTAAATCAGTAAATTGGCTAAGAAAGAGTTGATATATATTTTTATTGACATACATTTATTATATTTTCAGTCTCCACCCATTTCTAAAATTACTTAGGTCGGTGTCATTTTCCTTCATCCCCTTCCGTGAGGTGGTTTCATACATTTGTAATACAGTTAGATTGTTTTGTCATATCCTGCGTTCTACATTGGGATCCTTCCACCTCCTAAATGACTATTTCTTTAATTTGAATATATTAAGTTTCATTCTTTGTGCTGTGAAGTTCTATGGGCTTTAACAAATGCATAGTGTTGCATTCACCGCTACAGTATCACGTAGAATAGTTTCATCACAATAAAAAATCTCCTGTGCTTCCCCTGTGCTTCCCCTGCTCAACCAACCCCCAGCCCCTCATATTTCAATTGTCTCCATAGTTTTTCCTTTTCTAGAATGTCATATAATTGGAATCATACAATATGTAGCTTTTTCAGACTGACTTATTTCACTTAGCAATAAGTATTTATCCATGCTTTTTTGTGGCTGGATAGTTTTTTTTCTTTTAATTAATAGCTTTTATTTTTTTAGAGCAGTTTTAGGTTTACAGAAAAACTAAAAAAAAGTACAGAGTTTATACCCACCTCCCCAGTTTCCTCTATTGTTAATATCTTGCACTAGCGGGGTACACTTCTTAAAACTGATGAATGAACATTCATACTTTATGATGACCTACCCTTTACACTAGGGTTCAGTCTTTGTGGAGTACATTTTGTGGGTTTTGACAAATATATAATGTCATGTATTCACCATTATAGTGTCAGGTAGAGTAGCTTCATCATCCTAAATATTTTCTGTGTTCCATGTATTTATCCTTCTCTTCCCATGAACCCTTGGCAACCACTCATCTTTTTACTGTCCTCATAGTTTTATCTTTTTCCAGAATATCATGTAGTTGGAATCATACAGTGTGTAGCCTTTTCAGACCGGGTTCTTTCACTTAGTAATATGCATTTAAGCACTTAAGACATTTCTCCATGTCTTTTCACTGTGTGATAGCTCATTTAGTTTTATTGCTGAATAATATTTCATTGTATGGATGTACCACCATTTATTTATCCATTCGCCTATTAAAGGACATCTTGGTTGCTTCCAAGATTTGACAATAATGCATAAAGCTGCTATCAACATTCATGTGCAATTTTTTGTGGGCATAAGTTTTCAAATAATTTGAGTAAATACCTAGGAGTGCAAAATTGCTAAATTATATAGTAACACTATGTGTAGCTTTGTCAGAAATGGCCAAAGTATCTTTCAAGGTGGCTGTACCATTTTGCATTCCCATCAGCAATGAATGAGAGTTCTTTCTGCCTCACTTTTTCACCAGCATTTGGTGTTGTAGTATTCTGGATTTTGGCCATTCTAATAGGTGTGCAGTGGTATCTCATTGTTTTAATTTTCATTTCCCTGATGGCATAGGATGATGAAAATTTTATAAATGTGCTTAGTTGTCACAACATATTTTAAAATATATTAAGTGTTCTTATCCAGAAATACAGTACTCCATTGATTTTCTTTTCAGCAAAATATAGTAAATGTATTTACAGCAGTCTTAAAATTTTTTGGTAAATGTTACTTTCAAATACTTAAATATTTTCTGTCCCTATGTAAATGATCTCTTTTTTCAATGGTACTGGTTACTTATGTTATACAGAAAATTCATTTGAGTAAAATTGTATTTAGACTGAAGCCTCTTAATTAATTCCAGTTATTTTTTCTTTGATACTCTTGGGAAGCATAGATATATAAACATATCATTTGCAAATAATTATAATTTTGTTTCTTCACTTATAAGAATTATACCTCTTATTTATGGTTCATATGTAATTGAAGTAGCTAGAAACTGCAGGAAAATGTTAAATAAAAATAATAGAAACCAATATCCACATTTTAGTCCTGATTTCTATTAGGCTTTGGTGTGATGGCTGCTGATGTGAGATTGAGTTTCAGACTGAATAAAAAAGAATCCTTCCAAATACCCAATTTCTTTCAGGGAATTAAATAAATTTGTCAATTAGGCACTGACAATGAAGCTGTAGAAGTTTATCTATATGGAAAAATGATCACAATACATTGTTACATTAAATGCAAGATCCTAAACACTACTTATTCCTTCATCGCGTAAGGAAAAATCACGAGGCCCAGAAGGCTGCGGACCTGCACCTTCCCGGGTACAGTGCACACTGCTCGGCCCCACCCCCTCCCGGGCACAGTGCACAGAGCTCGGCCCCGCCCTCTCCCGGGTACAGTACACATAACTCCACCCCGCCCCCTCTCTGGTACAGTACACACAGCTCTGCCCTCTCTCAGGTACAGTGGCACGCAGCTCTGCCCGCCCCCTCCCGGGTACAGCACACAAAGCTCTGCCCCGCCCCCTCCCAGGTACAGAACACACAGTTCTGCCCTGCCCTCTCCCAGGTACAGTACACACAGCTCTGCCCCGCCCCCTCCCGGGTACAGTACATACAGCTCTGCCCCGCCCTCTCCCGGGTACAGTACATACTGTACTGTACCTGCCTGCCCCCTCCCGGGTGCGATACACAAAGCTCCGCCCTGCCCCCTCCTGGGTACAATGCACGTAGTTCTGCCCCGCCCCCTCCCAGATACAATACACACAGCTCTGCCCGCCCCCTCCCGGGTACAGTGCACACAGCTCTGCCCCCTGTCTCTCGGGTACAGTGGCACACAGCTCCGCCCGCTCCCAGGTACAGTGGCACAGGGCACTGCTCTCCTCCCACCATGGCCTTTCCAGAGGACCCTCAGGTCTCCCTTCCCCAGGCCCTGGCATGGTGCTCAGCCTCAGGACCAGTGCAGGGCAGAGAGAGGGCACAGTCTGCACTTCCTCCACCCTCCGTGCTCTGGATCCTCTAGGATATGAGGAAAAGGGGCAAAGCCCTTTCCATTTGTGGGTGCTGTGGTTCTACAGCCACCCCTCAAGGGACACCCACTGCACCATGCCCTGACTTGCCAATGAGCACTCCTCTTTCCTGCCTCTGCTCTCCACTCCTGTCCCCCAAAGGAATGTCCACAGTCCCTTTGGCAGGCAGGCTTTGGGCTGGGGTCCTTCCGGGATGACTCATGACCAGACCTCCACCCTACTGTCCACTGACATGAAGACATCAAATGTCCTTGCCCTGACTGACAGTACCTGCAGTCAGCTTTCCTGCTCCCTGTTCCTGGCTGCTGTGGGGGAGCACTGCCATCCAGGCTCCTGGGAGAGTCAGGCACCTGTCCTCATGCTCATAAGCCTCTAAACTCCAAGGGACACAAGTTGCTTCCAAGAACCAGCTGATGCTTCCATCCAAGCATAGCACAAGTTTCCACAGCTCCTCCAGCCATGGGCTCCCCTATTGCATGCCACCCTAAATTTTATAGTGACTCTCTTGGGGTGCCCTTGCATCTGACCCAAAGGAGGAACACACTCTCCTTGACTATAGGTATTGAAAGGACAATCAATGGCATAGCCCTCTATGTCTAAAAGTTTCCTGCAAATAATCTTTTCCTCTGCTGAGCAACTCACCTCTTCTCAAAGCTAGAGGCAGTGGGTGATGAAGATGGATCCAGTTGGCTATTGTTAAATCCTGCAGGGATGTGTCTAGCACTAGTTTTTCAGAGACACTTCTCTGAGACAACAGAAAGTGCCATTGCTGTCCAGTTATCCAATTTGAAAGACCAGACACAAAAATGTTATCTGTGAGAAGCAGAATACAGGCGACTTTTATTTTATTCTTTTTGTGCATCTGTTATCTGATGGTGTGCCAAAATTGGGAATGCCTTACCTCTCTGACAGCAAAGTGCTTTGATTCCTTTGCTTCCAACGAAACAGAAACCACAGGACAGCAAGAGGCAGCCACCAGCTAGAGGAGTTCACCCCCCTTTCGGTCCCCTTTAAATTTCCAGGCTTGCCACTAAACAAGCTTGGCTCGGAAAGGGGCAGATAGAAAGCAGCCTCCGTCTTTGACACTGCCGCCTTTTCTCCCGGCTGTGTTAAATCTTTCTTCCCCACCTCAGTGAAATCTCAGGCAGGCTTCACAGCATTTCTGATCCCTAACAAAGAAGACAAAGTCTGGTCTCGTCCGATATCAAAACTCCAGACTTTTATCGCATTAAAAACTTTTGCTCCTCTAGCGCTTATCTCAATGAGGCCTTCGGCTGGGAAAGGAAGAGTGGTTACTTTTTCCTCTCCTTGTCCCCCACTCCTCCTCTGCATGGCAGACCCTCTGGCTCCAGAGGTCACCTGGGTCGAGGACCACCTCAGGCAGCCTTCCATCCCTTGGCGTTGCCAGAGCTCCCCATGTTGCGAGCCCAGATGCTGCCTCCTACGGAGTGAATGTTTGTGTCCCCTCAATCCACATGTTGAAATCTTAGCCCCTAATAGGATGTTGTTAGGAGTGGAGCTTTTGGGTGTGGCGTTAGTGATTGGGTCATGAGGATGGGGGCCCCATGAATGGGATAAGGGCCCTTATGAAAGAGGCCCCAGACAGCTCCCTCCTCTCTCTACCGTGTGAGGACAGTGAGAATGCAGTCAGCTGCAGCCTGAAAGGGAGCAGCTCAGAGCCCAGCCCCATGGGCGCCCAACCTCGGGCTCCAGCCTGCAGCCCCGCGAGGAGTAAATGTCTGCTGCCGCCAAGCCGCCGACCTTGCCTGGGCTTTGTCACAGCAGCCACTGACTCTTCCCTTCCATGGGGCTCCCAGCTTCTTGACATTCTCCCTAGGTGCCCTGGCAGCTTCAAGGCGGGACTGAGACTGTCTACAGGGTCACACCCTCCTTCCTCTGTCCCTGGCCCTCCGCCCCAGGCTGACTTCTAGGCCACCCCTCTGCAGGTGCCTTTTTTGAGCAGAATCTCATTCAAGGTGGCCCAGTCCGGCTTCTCTTTATTGGGCCCTCCCGGGGCCAGCAGGACAGCTGTGGTGGGAGTAAGGTCAGTGCTGAGGAGCCAGCAGCCCAGCAGTTGTCTCCCTCACCCCGCCGTCCCAGTCTCTCTCTTAAAGGCAGCTCAGGGGAGTCAGGTCGTTCACCACATGCCCTGAAGCTCGGGAAGAGGTGCTTGCCAATCTCAGAGTTGTCCCCCTGAGGCCCCTCACCTGGCGAAGGGGAGAAAGTGGCAGAGTGTGCCAGCAGCCCTCCCCTCCAGTCTCCCTCCCACAGTCAGGTCTCAGCCCCCCATTCTATGGCCTTTGCAAATCTAGCACCATGTCGCATTTCAGTATCCAAGCCAGTAGTTGTGCTTGGCTGTACTTGTAGAGCTTCCCAAACAGTGGCCTGAGTGCATCACCCAGATGAAGCCTGGAGGTAGAGTTCCACGCTGGCATGAGGCCATGCCCTGAGGGTCGCATTCTGCCTTTCCAAATGTCTGAGCCACTGTTGAGTCCTCAGGATGGTTGCAGAACTCTCGCTTTCCTCTTCGTATTTCAAGCAGAAAAACAGGGAAAGGCAAAGAGGAACAGGCTCCTGGGGTCAGCCTTCCTTCCTCTCCCTTATGTTTCAAGGTATCACAGGACCACATGAACTCCAAGGAAGACCAGGGAAGAAAGGAGAATGGTTGTCAGGAAAGGCAGGAGTCTCTACCACAGATAAGCGAGCATCTGCCCCCAGGATGTGGGCGCCAACACTGAGGCCTCGGACTTGGGGCCTCAGCCAAACTCCAGATGTCAGCAAAAGTCCCATTTTCACATCCTCTTTTCATACCATGCCAGATATTTCATGCAGTCCCCTCAGCCTGCTCTCTGAAAGATGGAATTCTTCAAAGATCTGAGCCCACGCAACTCACTTGGGTGAGTAAGAGACATCAGATATCTGAGGTTCTGCAACTGTAGCCAAGACTTCCTAAACCATCAAGGAGCTGAGGGGTGGACATCTTCCGGGAAAGGGGAATGGGGTTAGTGTGTTCTATTCATTTTTATGTTGGTTTTCTCTTGAGGCATAAAATGAGGACCCAAGCTAACATCTAATCAAAATATATTTTTTACCTTAGTTTGGATAGCAATAAAAAAAATTTTCCATAACGTTTATATACATCAAAGGAAAAGCAAACAAAATAAGATAAAGATAATTTAGATATAGTATAATTATAAAATGAGGAAATAAACTCTGCAAAAAGGAACTTTCAGCTCTGCCAGAAGCCATGAAGATCTCGACTGACCCTGTTTAGAATGTGGCTCTCACCCATTAATTCCACTCACTGCCCACGAGGAGGAAAGTGTCTTGGAATGAAGAAGATTGTCTCCGGGGACTGACTGTCTTTCTTTCTTTCCTTCTTTCTTTCTTTCTTCTTTCTTCCTTTCTTCCTTCCTTTTCATCCATTTAAAAAATCAAGCTTTATTTTGATTTCTAGGCACATATCTTTTATATTCCTGAAGTAAAAACACTTTTTTATACAAAATAATTTCCTTCAGTACAAGGATTCAATAAAGGCTTTATTTTTAAAGACTTCATGAACTTTAATATTCTTTTTATTTCATGGTAAAAACACTTAACATGAGATCTACCCTCTTAAATTTTTAAGTGTACAATACAGTATTGTTAACTATAGGTACAGTGTTGTACAGCAGAGTTCTGGAACCAGAGACTTTGGCAATAGCTGTTTTTCTCCTTATTTTCTCATAATGATAATGCGCTCCTTGTGCATTTACACATTTTTAAAGAAACTGGTTCCTAAGGATTTTATTATTAAATGCTTGCAGTCGAGCTGGGATGGGAGCACCCGTCAGTCTCCTCTCCAGGGAAAAATGGGGCCTCAATGGGGAGAAGTAACCAGCCCAGAAAAAAATCAATAGGGTATGAACAACAAAAGATAATAAATCCAGACTAAAGGAGGAAAGAAATAACTCCTGTAGCTATCCTCAGTGAGGAATATCACCAAATCTTTGTATAGCCAGGAATTTACCAATTCCCTCAAAGTATGAAAAAAAAAAAAATCCCTGAGGAGTGTCTCTGCCCTGCCGCCACCCCGTCTGGGAGGTGAGGAGCGTCTCTGACCGGCCGCCCCATCTGAGAAGTGAGGAGCCCCTCCGCCCGGCAGCCGCCCCGTCTGGGAAGTGAGGAGCCCATCCGCCCGGCAGCCGCCCCATCTGGGAAGTGAGGAGCGTCTCCGCCCGGCCAGCCGCCCCGTCCGGGAGGTGGGGGGCAGCCCCCGCCCGGCCGCCGCCCCGTCTGGGAGGTGGGGGGCGCCTCTGCCCGGCTGCCCCGTCTGGGAAGTGAGGAGCCCCTCTGCCCGGCCGCCACCCACTCTGGGAGGTGTACCCAACAGCTCATTGAGAATGGGCCATGATGACGATGGCAGTTTTGTCGAATAGAAAAGGGAGAAATGTGGGGAAAAGAAAGAGAGATCAGATTGTTACTGTGTATGTGTGGAAAGAAGTAGACATAGGAGACTCCATTTCGTTCTGTACTAAGAAAAATTCTTCTGCCTTGGGATGCTGTTGGTCTATAACCTTGCCCCCAACCCCGTGCTCTCTGAAACATGTGCTGTGTCCACTAAGGGATAAATGGATTAAGGGCGGTGCAAGATGTGCTTTGTTAAACAGATACTTGAAGGCAGCATACTCCTTAAGAGTCATCACCACTCCCTAATCTCAAGTACCCAGGGACACAAACACTGCCGAAGGCGGCAGGGCCCTCTGCCTAGGAAAACCAGAGACCTTTGTTCACATTTTTATCTGCTGACCTTCCCTCCACTATTGTCCTATGACCCTGCCAAATCTCCCTCTCCGAGAAACACCCAAGAATGATCAATAAATACAAAAAAAATTAAAAAAAAAAAAAGAAAGAAAGAAAGAAATAAGGCTAGGGATAACTAAAAAGAAAGATAGCACCCAGAGGGTTTTTCAAAATGTGTTTGAAGCTGGGACGAATAGATTGCGGTAGGCAGGGTAGCTTTCAATTTCGATAACTAGGAGACTGTACACATTTATAATTGCTCTAAAGAAATGACACTTTCCTTTGGTCTTCAAGTTTCCAAGCCTTATATTCAAAAGAAGGTAATACCTAAAATCAGCAAATGATCCTCTGTTTTGTAGATGAGCAGCAAAGATGTAAGAATTGTTTTCTCCTATATCCTAAGAGTTGCTTTGCTTAATATATGAAAGAGACACTCTGAAAGATTATTTGCTTAAAATATGGAAGAGACAACCTGACAATGCCTACATGAAGGAGGAAAAGGAGAGAAGTTTCTATTTATTGAGTGCCTAGTATGTACTAATCAATATTGCTAATATTTATTGCACATTTAATATTTGCTGGTCAATGTGTGTTTTCACTTATTTATCTTCGCAAGAAGCTTATAAGGTAGGTGCTATTATAATCATCATTTCGTGATGAGAAAAGGATCTTAGGCAAGTAAACTATCTTCACAGGAATATAACCAGGATTTGGTCCCATGGAGTATAACTCTAGAACTCCTGTGCTTAAAGACAAATGCCACCATTATACCACTGGATCCTCTTAACAACTGTTGGAATACACAGGCATTAACCCCATCACACCAATGAAGAAAGTAAAACCTAGAAAGGCTGAATAATAATTTGCTCTAGGTCATGCAGCTACCAGGTCACAGAGCCAAAGTGGAATTCTAGGTCTTTGTAACTCCAAAATCTTTTTCCAAGAATGCCACACTGCTTTTCCTTGTGTTTCTCCTAGGATAGGTGATACAGGAACATAACAGCCATATTAAAGCTTTCTTTCATTCTTTAGCTAAGAAAGCACTGCATCTTAAATAAAAGGGTATTTCCGTTTAGAATATTTATAAAGGTTAATGAGGAACGAAATGAACTGAAAGCCAGCAGGGAAATATTCCCAGCTGTAAACACCAAACTTTTACATTCTAATTCTACAAGAAAATATCCCAAACAGAACATCAAATTTTTTAATCAGATGCAGGTGAATCAGCTGAGCAACATTTTTACCATTTTTTTATCTCTGTTTAGAGGTCACTACCGACTAAACATTGGCAACATCACTCTGTTCAGGCAAATGTTGGATGAAGTAGGTGCTTAAAAAGGGAAAGGTGGACTCAAGTCCTACAATGAGGAATTTCCCATAAAAACAAGGAAATTAATACAGGATTTCTTTCGTCTTTTTCCATTAAAATTATGAGGTCTTTTTTTATCATTTTTTTTCAGAAGGTGGAAAAGGAGTAAAAAGACACGGAGTCAATTGTGCCTTTTATCTTAGTGGGAGTAGGCTTTTGGGAAGCTAACAGCATATATCTTATAAAGGCCTCTTTGTCACTATGTATACTCATGGTCCAGAAGGCAAAGGTTCTGGGGGCATCTATGAGCATCAACTTGGGCAATCTTGGTGATCACAGGAACAGCAAATCTTCTTTAAGTTTTGAGAGAGACCATAGTGAGATAACAGGGTTGATCCAAAGCCTGTAGAAAATCTAGGACAAATTATTTTGGCAACTGGTTCCAAACCACTTCATACCTGCCAAAGGGTGCATCAATCTACTAAGCCAGCTTTTACTAAAGCCAGTTCTCTCTTATACTGACAAGGAAAATTAAAACCAGATGGGGTCAGATAATAACTTGCCCTAGGTCATAGAGCTGGCAACTAACAGAACTACTTGTCTATCAAACTAATGGCATCCTCTTTATTAGCCATATCTGCCTACATGACAGTTTTTTACCTTACTAGACCCAAGAGGTTTCCCAGCATCTCAAATACCTAAAAACACAGACATTCAATGTCACTCTCTTTCCACCCCGCTTGCCTCCCTGTACCTTTCCTCATGCTGACTTTCCTATTTCTGCTCATGCCACCAAATTTTTTTCTGAATCATGAAGGCTCAAAACCTTAGAGTCATGTTCAACTCATCTTCCTTGCCAAGTTCTGCTAATTCTGCTGCAACAACATCTCCCAAATTTGTTCACTTTCAAGCATCTCAGTGGTAACATGAAGTGTAGGATACCATCACCTGCCTTTCACTTAAACTACTCAATGGGTTCCTAACCCCTTTCCTGCCTTCTAGTCATATTGTATTCTAATTCATCCTTGTTCAAATCTATCCTTACACCACTACTGAATTAATCTTTCTAATGTCTCATTATGTCACCCCAATCAAAAATTTTTTATCTCAAGTCATCCCGAGTAATTTCCACCTCATTTTCAAACCCATATATCAAATATTTCATGAATATGTTTCACTTCATATAAATTGGGTATGACCATTTAGATTCATTGGTTTTTATTTATAACTTTTAGGTAGTACATTATACGTTTCTTAATATTCTTATTTCCCACCCTATTATTTGCAAATTTTTGAAGGACAGAGACTGCATCACACTTTTCAGTTTCTGGTGATACTTAATAATTTTTGCCAAATAAATAATCAGTAAGTTTTTTTCACTTGGGTGCAAAATAATCAAATAGACTGGAATTAAAGTATGTCAAGGTCTGCCTAAAGCAAATCTCTCAAGTTAAAATGAAATAAAAGAAATTTATAAGAACAACAACAACAAAAATCCTACCCAGCAAAACTCCAGTGCTATCATTGAAGGTCATTTTTGCTTTTGCATACTTTTATTCTTTCATAGTTCCCAATATATCCCCTTTCTACATTTTCTTGAATCAATTTTGATCATTTGTATTTGTAAGATAAAATCTTTCACTTTTTCAGGGTTTCAAGATGACCAGCACAGACCTGAATGCAGTGTGCATTTGTAACACACATGTCCTCTGTCTGTAGACACAGTACCTTCCTCATTTTGATGTTGTAAAACGTTTTCATCCTATGACTAAATTTTCTATACTGCTAACAGGCTGTGGTTAATAAATTAGAGGGCTCCATGTTTATTGTATTGATCACTTGTCTGTAAAGGAAAAAAAACATTTTTTTCTCCTACTATATTCTCACTCGACACCCTCAATATTTCACTTCTGACATCAAGCATGTGTGGGTTTTTCCCACACAACAAGCAATCCTCTAGCAGACACCAGCTGGGTGTCTCACAATTTAACTCAATTCCAACACCACCTACCTGGAGATTGTGTCAGATATCACAGGTTGAGGGCTCAGCACCACAAGTCTGCTCCCACTGTTGATACCAATCACCAGCCCCAGGTCGTTTTTCCTGTGCTTCTGACCGAACTGCTGTGAATCAGGGTTCCCATGAGTGCCCTCCTCATGTTTAATAATTTGCCAGGACAAATCAAAGAACTCAAAGAAGCATTTTACTTACTATTGCCAATTTATTACAAAAAGAAATAAATATTTATTACAAAAAGGAAGACAAAACGAGGATAAAAACAATGGGATGAAAAAATATACCATGAAAATACTAACTGAAAGCTGCAGACAAACACAGGCATCACAAAAGATAAAAGGAAATATTATTTGTGGAAAAGGGGACTTTTTTGCACAGTGATAAAAGAGTCAATTCTGCAAGACGACATTAATAATCCTGAACATACATGCACCTAGCAACACAGTGTTAAAACACATGGAGCAGAAACTGATAGGACTGATAGAAGAAACAGACAAATCCATTAATACATCTAGAGACTAAATAAGTGGACCTTGGATTTATTCATCAGTTCTTCTAATTTTCTTGTTTTCAAAATTATGATTGTAATACTATCATTTCCTTTCTCTTGCTTTCTTTAGCTCTGCTTTTTTTTAAAAAAAATTGAATTCTTAGTTTATTTTCAGATTTTCTTACCTACTATTGAAAGTACTTGGCCGGGTGAGGTGGTTCACGTCGGTAATCTCAGCACTTTGGGAGGCCAAGATGGGCAGATCACGAGGTCAAGAGATCAAGACCATCCTGTCCAACATGGTGAAATCTCATCTCTACTAAAAATACAAAAATTATCTGGGCGTGGTGGCACACACCTGTAGTCCCAGCTACTCAGGAGGCTGAGGCAGGAGAATCACTTGAACCCAGGAGCCAGAGGTTGCAGTGAGCTGAGATTGCACCACTGCACTCCAGCCTGGTGACAGAGCGAGACTCCATCTCAAAAAAAAAAGTGCTTAAGGCTTTGAATAATCCTCTGAATATAGTTTTAAGTGTCCCCATTTGTTTAAATATGTAGGGTTTTCACTATTGTTGCTTTTTAAACAAATTTTAATTGAAGTCTTATTTTTCTTCAGCCAAGAACTCCCCCCACAGAAGACTGCAGGTATTAGTCAAAGGAAAAAAAATTAAGATAATAACAGACGTTAAAGAAGTCTATTAGATCCATGTCCCTGAATGGAAAGTCTAAATAGTTCCAATATGCTATTTCTTCTTAAATAATTGTGATATCTAGTTCAAATTGGCAGGGTAGTTCTGAAGATTACGTGGAAGAATACACTTAAAAAATGATGAGCATGATCTACATTACTAGATAATAATATTATTAAAAGGCATAATACCATGGTGTGATCCTGGCACTAGAATAGCTGAGCAGATAAATGGAAACTGACTTTGTATGTATGACAAACTTATGCGTGATAGAGGTGACACAGAATACAGGAGCAAGGAAAATAGGAAGAAAGGCTAAGACATCAGAAGAAAAGGCTGGGCTGTGCAGTAAAGTCTACTGGGATATTGACTAAATACTCTAAAAAAATACAGATCATCACCTTGCACCAAAGTTAATTACAGATGGATTAAAGATTTCAAAGTAAAAAGTGAACCAATAAAATAAGTAGAAGAAAATAAACATGATAATTTACCTTATGACAATATGGAAAAGGACTTCTAAGATAAATTTTATTGTTTTTATCAAAGTAATACATATTCTATGTAAAAATCATAGCACAGCTATCACTAAAATAAAAATTACCTACAATTCCATAACCCAAAGAGTTCTCTACTAACATTTAATATAAAGCTTTCCAGAGATTACATATGAATATGTATGTAATGCTGTAATAGACCCTGTCCTAGTCCATTTGCATTGCTATAAAGAAATACCTGAGGCTGGCTAATTTATAAAGAAGAGAGGTTTATTTGGCTTATTTGGCTCATAGTTCTACAGACTGTACAGGAGGCGTGGCTCCAGCACCTACTCTTGGTGAGGCCTCAGGAAGCTTCCACTCATGGTGGAAGAGGAGGGGAGCTGGCAAGTCACATGGCAAGAGCAGAGCAAGAAAGAGAGAGAGGGGAGGGAGGTGCCAGGCTCTTTTGAACAATCAGTTCTTTTGGAATTTATAGAGCAAGATGAGGGACTCCCCCCATGACCCAAACACCTCCCACCAGGACCTCCTTTGCCTCATTCCATGGCCAGGTGTGGAATCCCAAGGAAGTCCAGGCCCCAGAGGAGCCCTGGACCACTCGTGGCCTTCCAGAGCCCTGCAGGGCAGCAGGCACTAGAGTTTCTCCTATACAGATTCCCAAACCCATCTGGGATTCTATCCATCCCGCCTCAGAGGCCTCTGCCTGGGGACTTCTCCAACCCCACCCAGCCTGCAAATGCCATGCCAGCCATTGCAGGACAAGGAGATGTAACTTCATTCTGAGTTTTCTTTCTCCATTCCTTATTCTTCCCTGCTGGGCAGGCCCCATAACTTCTCTGGTCCTGTAGATGGCGGGGGCAGTGATAGTTATAGTCATCGTGTTGCCAATACAGCATCCCAGGGCCACATTAAATCACCAGCCTCTGTGTCAACTCAGTGATCCGACGTCCTCATGCAGGAAGCAATCAGACAGGATTTAGAGCCATGTCTCCTTCCCCTGCTCTGGGGCCTGCTGCAGACCAGGAAGAACCGCGTGCTCAGCTCCTTCCACTCCTCCACCATGCCAAGCTACATTACCCCCGCTGGGGAGCAGGGGACAGGAAGAATTTTCCTTGATTGGGAACTTGGTTGTTCTCTGGTTTCTGGAATGTGTCAGGTGTTTCAAGTTGGCACTTCCTCTTACAGGGCCTTCCAGGGGCTGCTCATCCTAGAGGATGCCTCATATTGACAGCCCTCTTGCTGTGATCACTCCCAATTCCTTCTACAGCCCTGGATCTGTGTGTCCCTTCAAGCCCCGGGCAGCCAGGAGGCTCTCTCAGGCATGTGTCCACCTCCAGTCCAGGTGACACGCTCACTCACTCCTTAGCCCAGCAAATCTTGGAAGCAGTGACTTTCCAAACCAGAGTCCTTTAGCTTAGCCTCTGCAGGTCACTCAGCCAGCCCTCACCCTCTCTACTTTCGTTGTTGCTGTTGTTGTTTGAGACAGAGGCTCACTCTGTCACCCAAGCTGGAGCACAGTGGTGCAATCTCAGCTCACTGCAACCTCCGCCTCCAGGGTTCAAGCGATTCTTCTGCCTCAGCCTCCCGAGTAGCTGGGACTACAAGTGCGTGCCACCATGCCTAAGTAATTATTTTTTGTATTTTTAGTAGAAACGGGGTTTCACCATATTGGCCAGGCTGGTCTTGAACTCCTGACCTTGTGATCTGCCCTCCTTGGCCTCCCAAAGTGCTTGGATTGCAGGCATGAGCCACAGCACCAGGCCTGTACTTTCATATGTGATTCAGACAGTGTGCTATGGTATTCCCCAAACTGCAAGAGCAGACAGCAAGCTCTCAGCAGTTTCTTTGGTACGATGACAAGATCACATCCCCACCACACCCCTTGGGCAAGGTGGGAATCACAGCAGAGCTCTCTCCAAAATAATCCTATTCCATATATTTCTCAAAAGCCAATTATTGGTCCTCTTATACCATCAATACGGATGAGAGGTTAAGAGCTGTATAAATGGTTTTTACGACTTTTATTATTTTTCATATAAATTCTTCACACTTTAATGTGCATTTAAGCCACCTGGAGACCTTGCTAAGGTGCAGATTCTGAGGGGGCAGGTCTGAGGTGGGACCAAGATTCTGCATTTTAACGGAATGGTATCCATTGATTGGACCACACGTGCACAGCAAAAGGCAAGTAGCACTGGCTGTTACACACTGGAATCGTCTGGAGAGATATAAAAAGCACTGAAGCCAGGAGCCAGCCATGGAATCTGATGTCCTTCATCTGGAGCATGGCCCGGTTTCAGGAATTCGGAAAGCTCCCAGGGGATGGTGCCATGCAGCCGGAGAGAAGTACAGACCCAGGCAGGTTCCAGGGACCTGCACTCTGCTGTCTTTGGGATTCGGGCCTCCACTCCTTTTGACTTGCTGTTGCATGGCTTTATCCTACCTGGGCTGGTGGGAAAGCTGACTGTTGGTGGTGGTGTTGACTTCGTGTCTTGAGGCGTTTAGGGTTTTGCTTTTGAAAAACAGAAAAGAATGAATCTTAGATGCCAACCTAGGAGAAGAGGAAAAAGGAGACAAACAGAAATGATCTGATTTTAAATCTCAAGTGACTGACTTCACCTGGAAATGACTAGATCAAAATTGCTGCTATCTGAAGAAAGCGTGTGAGGTAGAATTGAGTACAGACTTAGACAAATGCAACATGCTACAAATGTTTGTTATCTGAGGACAAGACTCAAAAATATATCATCTACCAGAATTACATTGCTGCAGTTATGTAAGCATGTTGCACCCATAAGATAAAATGCTTTGTAGGCATAAAAAGGTGCTTTCAAAGAATATGTAATGAGATGAGAAAATGTTAAGTAAAAACATATATTAAGAACTTTGTATGTAATATAATTTCAACTTTGTTTATAATGTGTGTATGTTTATTTGTAGAAACAACGCTTGAAGGAAATACTCCAAAATACTGACAACAGTGATAAACTTATTAATAATTTAAATTTCGTTCTTTCCATTTTTCTGCATGTTTAGGGATTTTTTTGTCTTTTTAAAACAATGAACATATGTTGATGTTGTAATCAGACAATAGTATAAATGAAAAACGAAATAAGCCAAAGAGGTGAAGGAAGCACCAAGACTGCTGGGGCTTCCTCCGAAGCTGAGGTCGGAGCCTCATGACGCACAGACGAGAGGTTCTCATAAAGAAGGTGAGAAGGATACAATTTAAAAAAAAAAAGAAGCTGAGAAAGAGAAAGAGATGCACAGGGGGTCAACAAGAAATGACCACCAGGACCATCGTATTGGTAGCAACACTTGCCAGGAGAGGCAGCCGTGAGCAGCTTGCTCCACCCCTGCTCAATCTCATGAGGTTGTGCCTGGAGCCATTCCTTCCCTGGAGATAAGGAGCTCAGGAAACACAACCTGTGCTGAACTCACCACCGTGCTTGAGGACACCTTTCTCTGTTGTTTCCTCGTGTGTACTTCTTTGGTCTGCTTCAGCGTATCCATCATATCGTGCCTGGCCAACCTCACTGCCATATCTGTTGCCGACAAGAGGGAAATGAGGTCCTTCACCTGCAGCCTGAGAGGGGCACGTGCAGACCACCTCCCTGCATTGGCTTCAGGACAAGACCCACTGGCCACGGGGAACCAACAGTCACTAGTGAAGTTTCTCCGTGTAAGTAAAGTATTGTTCCATCCAGTGCCTGTGTGAGTTGTGTCTTTCTTGGCAACCCTGACACCTGTAAACTGTGCAGTGGGTTGACATCCTGCTCCAGGTGGTAGGCAGCAGGTGTCACCTGCTTCACAATTCTAATGGCTATGTGAACACTTCCTTGGTGCCAGATGCAGTGCTTGGTGTCTAAGCATCTCTGTGGCCTGATGAGGCTACACTCTTGTTTATCCTTCCCTATTTCACACTTGAGAAAATTGAGGCAGTAAGCATTGAGTAACCTGGCCAAGGCCACACAGCTCATACTGCAATGCTGAGACTCAACCTCAAATTTGTCTAGCTTTAGATCCTCAAACTGGAGCATCTCAGTCTTGCTGCCTCTTCCTCCCTCAAGAGCAAGTGGAAGTATCCAGGGTCAATTGAACAAACTCCTCCTTCACATTGTCCAAGTTTTGGCTGAGTTGCACACTGAGCAGCCTTCAGGGCCAGGTGAGGCTGTGTAAGCTTTTGCTTTAATCAGCTCCCAATAGATTGCCCCACTCCTGCTCCTTCAGTGCTGGTGATTTGTCTCTTGAATTTAAATTGCTCTCCTAAGAAGCCTCATTCATTCATTCATTCATTCATTCATCTCTTTGTTCATCAATCCATCAAACTACAATAAGTCTTATTTTGTGCTGAGCATTGTGAAAGTTCACAGTCTACATTGTTACCCAACTAGTTAACCAGCCAGGAGTGAAAAATGGAACTTGTAGGTCAAATGACAGAGCAGGCACGTGTAAAATCCACCCCCAACATGCACCCCAAAAGTGTGGAGGTACCTGCTATGTCTGAAGGCTTGTGTCTCCCCACCATAATTCATATGTTGAACCCTAATCTCTAGTGCAGTAGTGTTGAGAGGTGGGGCATCTGGAAGGCAATTAGGTCAAAAGGGCAGAGCCCTTGTGAATGGGATTAGTGCCTTTATAAAAGAGGCCAGGGAGAACTTGTTTGTTCCTTCTGCCACGTGAAGACACAAAGAAGGCATCATCTATGAGGAATGGGCCCTCACCAGACACTGAACCTGCTGCTGTCTTGATCTTGGACTTCCCAGACTCCAGCACTGCGAGAAATACATTTCTATTGTTTGTAAACTGGGTGTTTTATTACAGCAACCCAAATGGACTGAGACAGCATCCAGCTACATACTTAAGTTTTAAGAACTTAGCTGAGCTCTAAAGCAGTAAGTGAAATTTCTAGGTGGCAGACACAAACTCAGTACAAGTGAATAAAATTAAAAACACATGACACACAGTCCAGGCATGGTGGCTCATGCCTGTAATCCCAGAACTTTGGAAGGCCAAGGTGGGTGGATCACTTGAGGTCAGGAGTTCCAGATCAGCCTGGCCATCATGGTGAAACCCAGTCTCTACTAAAAATACAAAACTTAGCAGGGCATGATGGCAGGTGTGCACCTGTAATCCCAGCTACTCAGGGAGGCTGAGGTACGAGAATTGCTTAAACCCAGGAAGCATAGGTTGCATTGAGCCAATATCACACCACTGCACTCCAGCACTCCAGCCTGGGTGACAGAGTGAGACTGCATCTCAACAACAACTACAACAACAACAACAACACATGATGCACAGGAGCAAGGTCTCCAAGGAAGCGGGGGCTTAGTGCCCCAGCAGAGTCATAGAGAGAGA
This sequence comes from Homo sapiens, assembly GCF_000001405.40. NCBI lineage: Eukaryota > Metazoa > Chordata > Mammalia > Primates > Hominidae > Homo > Homo sapiens. The sequence continues at coordinate 127,319,978 of NC_000003.12, forward strand.
CAGCAGAATGGGGCAGGTTCAGATGTGTGATTCCTTGGAGCCTGGAGCCAGATACACCTGACCCTCTGTGAACAAAGATTATGCTTTGGGTTTTAAAGTTGGTATGTTACAGTATTTTGTTGTGCTTGCAGATACATTTTACATGGAAATGTGCATCTTACTATATTTCTAATATTAAGGAACTCAACACTTATACAGCTTGGTTTGGGTTCATTATCAAGGTGAATAAGCAGCTTTGCATAAACACTTTCCTACTACAAACATTTTAACAAATGCTTTTTTTAATAAACATTTTTAATCTTCAATGTTAATGTTACAAGTCAACACTTTTTGAAACTATTATGACAAAAATTTCAATATTACAGGAAAATGAATCTTCTTAGCAAACAGATGTACACAGAAACTCAACTTTCTGAAGGCAAGTCATAAAATAAGTATAGATTGAACTCAAATTTTATGGTAATTGGTATGCAAATATTCCCCAGTGTTCTCCTAATCCATCTAACAAGATGTAATGGCTAGCTTATTGCTTGTCTTCTCAAAGCATCTGTGTCAACAGACTCCCTTTTTTTTTTCAAGGTTCTTCATTAGCTGCTAGGCAAAGCCCATGTCTTCTGCTTCAGTTATATTTCCTAGCCAAGGCTGAATGAAAGAACATGGGCTTACTTATTTCTGCTTCTACAACTGGGATCTGAATATTTATGCCCACTGGGTGTGGGAGGCACCAGAACCTACGGGAGCTCTCCGTGGTGCTGGCCATGACATCAGCTGTGGGCCAAGCTGCCCTTCCTCTAGCCTTGATCTCACCTTGAATGCCCTTCATGACTCTAAGGCCAGCAATGATAGTGACTCAGATGCTGGCTTAATTGTCATGGTCTTGACCCCAGTCCTGGCCTTTGCCCTGTCCTGAACACTTCCTGTCCTTCCTTACTCTGAAGAACACTGATTGCCACTGTGCTCCTCCTAGACCCATTTACCCAGTCCATCCTATTCTGCCCACTTTTGCAGCCCCTCCCTGAAGGTTTACCAGAAGTTTCAGGGCTCCTCTATGACAGGTCCCCTCCAAGGGCCATTCTCTTTCCTTCTTTTTCAGACCGTTCCATCTTTTCATGTCCCATCAGCAAGTCGCTCCATTATTCCATGTCTTGGACCAGAGCCAAAGTCTGAGCTAATATTGTGTTGTGTCAATTCTGAGTCCCATGTCTGAGTCTCACCTCCCCAAATAAACTGGGTTCTTCAGACAGGGAACCCCTCCTCCTTGCATCCTCTTGCTGTGGTTGGCACAGAGCTGGGCACACTGGGGGCTCTGGCTGCACAGACTGATTGGATGATTGATGACTAATTGCTAACGGCTAATTCTAACCAGGTATGAGGAGCTGAACAGGGGCTGCCGTCTTCTCCGCCTTCCTCCACCTGCAGGAGTCTCTGTCTGTCTTGGGCATGGATCCTATGCTGCCGAGTGTGTAAATTAAGGAATAATAGAGCTGCAGAAGCATAAGCCCTCAATGATGGGGAATATGTTTGTCTGCTAAGAAGCAATTTCAGCGAAAATTAACTCCATTTCAACAGAAAGAGTGAGGCTTGGCATAAGCTGGCCAATCCCAGAGGACAATAAAATTACTTTGTCAAAGCTCTGCTTGCTTAAATTAACCAAGCGAGCACTCCAGGATCCTGGCTAGATACAGCAAGTAACTAGGTTTTAATGAACAAAAATAGCTTCTTGGATAAATGAGAAAAATAAACCACAGCCTACCTCTAGCACAAGTACACATGGTGGCTGTCTCAAGGACACTTCCCTCAAGGTTATGCATGGCCATGAGTATCCTGTACAGTTTAGAACCATCTACATGTTGGCATTGGCTGTGCATCCTTGGGACTTGTTCTTGGTCATTGATGTCCTATCCGCTCTGTCTACACTGGCTTTGCCCTTGAGAACTATGTTCTTGGCCATAGTGTCGTGGACAGTGAATCCTTTTTGGTTTTAGCCTCATGACTATGGACTGGCCACTCAGATCCTGGGAAACACTGGCCATTTCCCCCATGACTGTCTTCTTGGACAGCCACGTCCAGGACAATTGCCTGTCTTCATCTTGTCTTCTACATTGTGGCTTTAATCCATCCTGCCTGGTCAGCTGTGTTCTGGACAGCTGCTATACTGATTGTGCCATCCAGATCTATGACACTGGCTGGCTGTGCTTTGGCCTTAGATAGTTAAGTCCACCTGATTAGACTACTGATGACTGTGTCCTGACTGACCACATTTTGGAAAGTTGTCTATACAGATTGGTAAAACATCTGGTCAAGCCCCCTCTCCACGTTAAATTTTTTCTGGTTACTCATCTATATCAGTCAAGGTTCCACCAGAGAAGTAGAACTAGTAAGACGTGTGTGTGTGTGTGTGTGTGTGTGTGTGTGTGTGTGTGAGAGAGAGAGAGAGAGAGAGAGAGAGAGATGGAGAGAGGGAGATTGATTTATTAATACTAGGATATATTATTTATATGTATATTATTAAAGGATCATTAACACTAGGAGATTTATTACAAGCAATTGGCTTATGTGGCTATGAGGACTGGCTGGCAAATCTGGAATCCACAGGGAAGGACATCAGGAAGGGCAGGCTGGAAACTGCAGCAGGAACTGAAGCTGCTGTCTACAGGTAGAATTTCCCCTTCCTCAGAGAAACTTTGGCTCTGTTCTCAAGGCTTTCCACTGATTCGATGAGGCCTATGCAGCTCATTCGGGATCATCTCCTGTACATAAAGTCAACAGATTGCAGACGTTAACCACATCTACAAAACACCTCCCAGCAGCACCTGGGCCCATGTGTGACTGAATCACTGGGCACTCCATGTGAGAAGGGCTGCCACCGCTGGTCCCCTCGTTACAAAGGTGGGTCTCCTTACTGTTCACCTGAATAAGATAGAGTCTTCTTCTGACGCTTGGTAAGGCCAATTTCATCAGCCATGGTTGGAGGCGAGACCTGGGGTTTTGGTCAGCTCTGCTTCCTCCCTGACACACTCACTAAACATTGTCCATTGTCCATCTATACATGACTTTAGGGATGTTTGGTGCCGCTGTTGGCCAGCACCCTGGTCTCCAAGTGGAATTTTGTTAGTCTGAACTTTTCCTCCAGATATATCACATGGCTGTGTCCTACCCACACTTCTGGGGACAATTTAGAAAGGACATGGGCTATGTTCTTAGCAAGTCTCTGACACAGAAAGCCAAGCTTGCCTTCACGGCACAGCGACATTTGTATTTGTGGCTCTGATGCAGCGAATTCCATGGCCATAGAAGAATCTGAGTCTGTCCACTGCCTGCAGTTCCCTCCTGTCTTCCGTTCATTCATTCATTTGTTCATTCACTCATACAGTGAACACTGTCACACGGCCACCACAAGACAGGTCCTGCTCCAGGCCCGGGAGACCCAGCAGTGAACAGGGCACAGAAATGCCTGCTCTCAGGCTTCCATTCTCCCAGGGAGAGGGAGTTCACGAATGAATGAGATCTGTCTGGTGGTGAGAAATGTTGTGGAAAATCATAAAGCAGGGTTAGAAGGACAGAGGATACCTGGGGAATGGTCCCCCCATTAAGCAGGGTGGTTAGAGTACATCTCTAGAGAAGGGAACATTTCAACAAGAAGGGGAAGAAGACAAGAACCAAGTCATGCTGTTATGAGATAGGTGGGGGACATTCCAGCCAGAGTCCAAGGCCAGAAAATGCTTGGCATGGTCCAGGGACAGCGGGGCTGGGCCAGTTTAGAGTGCATGAAAGGGAAAGAGAGGGACAGCTGGGGAAGAGGAGGTCATAGAGGCAGCAGCAGACAGGGCTTGACAGTCACTGTGAGCCTGGCTCTGCTCTGAAGGAGACAGGAGCTATCAGAGCGTGCAGACACTGGGACGTGTCCCCTTCCGACAGAGCTGCTTAGTATCTGGTTGGGATTGCTGGCTGCTGAGGACCACAGCCAAGCTGTCCCCAGGCATCGCCCTCTGCTGAATGGAGCTGCCTCTATCAAGGCTCCCCCTTCCCTGGAAAGTGCAGGGCTGAAAGGCCCAGCCCCTTCCCCTCAATATGGGACATGTTCTAAGCCCACTCCAGCCCCAGAGCTCGGTGAGTTTGGCAGAGGCCCTCAGTGAGACTGCACTGCAGCCAGCTCCTCCTCTGTCCAATTCTCCGGCCTCCTGGGGAGGCTCCTGCCCACCATCAGGGAGGCTCCCCCACTCCCTGTGCTGCTTTCCATGCCAGGGGCACAGCACCCTGTGCTCTTAGAAGAATGCATTGATGTGGTCTTTAGTGTTTCCTGCACACCACTTCACCTGTGCTCTGTTCAGCACACATGTCTGAGTGACAGTGTGTGGCTACCCTTTTTCTTAGCTTAAGGACCAGTGCTGATCTCCCTGCTGTAGTATATTTCTGGGTGTTCATGCTGGATTCCCCCACTCCCAGAAGCAGATCCTTACTGGGACTGCCCCAGAATCGGGGTATCTCCCCAGTGGAGATTCCATTTACAGGTGGGATTGAAAACAGGAAATGACTGTCTGCACAATAAGGACTTACCATGTCCCCCACCTTCACTATGACCATAACTTGCACAGTACCCACTTCTTGGTGGAGAAAGTGCAGCTGTCAATCAAAAAGACAAGCAGGTTCTGATTAGAGACATGCCTGCAGCCCTCCACAGCCATTCCTGTGAACTGTCCTAGCAGGCCTCCAATATGCTGCTTCCACAGAGAAGTCTGTCTTGGAGGGAGTGCCTACAATATAAAACAACAGATCACATTAATAAGAAAACATAACCAACCAAATAGGAAAATGGCCAAAGGATATGAGTTTACTGAAAAGGATATAGATAGGCATCTGCCATAAAAAAAGATGCACAACCTTACTAGTAATCAAGGAAATGCAAATTAAATCAACGATGAGATATTGTTTTATTCACCTACATAACTGGCAAAAATTAGTTTGATAATCTCATGAGCTGTCAAGGTGGAAGGAAATTGGCTGTTCTCATGCCCTGTGAAAATGCATGTGTCTCAGGGCCCAGTAACTTCACTTCTGGTTTTGATTCCCCAGAGAACCCGTGGTGCCTAAGGAGGCACATCCAGGGATGTTGCAAGTGGACGCTGGAAATAAGGGCATTTCCGTCAACTGGGGAAGGGCTAACTAAGATGTTTTGTAATCACACAGTAGAATATTGCACAACAACAACAACAAAAAAAAAACACTTTATCTACCCATATCAACATGGAAGAATGTTTTTGAGGTCTGGAAGGACACCATCAACTTCATAAAAGTAATTGCTTTGGGGAGTGCACCAGGGTAAGAGGTTGTTCAAAGGGAATTTGGGGCTTATCTGGAATCTTTCAATTGTCTTAAAAGACAGCATCTTGATGTATTTCTTGTGTGATTAGAAGATAATGTTTGGAGTCTGTCTTGGGCATACATTTTCTTCCCCCACTGTCTTGTCTCCTGTCCTCAAGCAGGGAGCTCCTCTGCATTCAGCACCAGCTAATGGACAGCCTCCTCATACCCTCCATCTCCTATTTTTATGAAACACTCAGGGCTCTTCAGTTCACACCCATTTTTGCCCGGCCAACACCCCACAGACCAACATGGAGAATATCTAAAAATACTTCAGACCATGCCACTAGCTATTGCTGAGGAAAAAACTGCCCCAAAACTTCATGCCTTAAAGCAATCACTGATTGTTTTTGTCTCACACATTTGTGAGTTGGTTGGGAAATGCTTGTGGTTTGGGCTAGGTCTGTCTGAACTTGGCTGGCTCACTCTATGTCTGCAGTCAGTGGGTGGGTGGCCAGCTGGCTGGCTGGTCTGAAGTGGCCTAACTCCCATCAGCTGGAGCAGCAGGAATAGCAGGCCCTGGATAGCTCACTCTCTGGTGGGCAGGCCCAGGGTTGTCTGAGCAAAAGGCACAGGCATCTAAGAGCAAGCGGAGTAAGTACAGCCTCTTGAAACCTAGCTCAGAGATGGCACACTATGGTTCCCATCACATTCTGTTGGCCAAGTCTTGACTCACAGGGCAGGAAAATAGACTCACCTCTTAATGGGAGGTGTGCAAAGTCACAGGCAAAAGGCAAGGCTTTAGGCAGGAGTGAAGAGTCATAGCCATTTGTTTCAACCAAAACCAAGAGGGCCATGCTCCCTGACCATGTTGTTGGTCCGCATCCTTCACTTCCCCCAGTGAGCACAAACTCAATGCATTAATTAGTCTAGAACACACCCTGTGACAGCTGCTGTGGCTTCCACCCCTGCAGTGTCCTTGTGCCATTGCCATTCTGACAGGCTGGCAGGCCTAAAGGTGCTACAAACCACTAAAAAAGACCCACCAGGACACTCTCTAGGGGAGCAAGAAAAAATGCAAGAATTTTGCAGACCTCACACCATTCCTTGCAGCAGATGTCAGGAGCCTCCATCCTGCTCACCTACCTCCCCATAAGCAAACCCTCTCAGGTGGAAGCCAGAGAGCTCTCCAGAGGGATGGAGGGACTCTTTAATGCCATGGCATATGACTCTGCACCCCCTCTACCATCCATGTGCACCAAGTCTCCTACTCTTGTTGTACCTGGCTGCCCTCCATCCAGGAGCCAAGTAGGGAAGCTGTATGTGCTGTCCTAGAAGGCCTGTCACATCACCTTTGCCAGCTGCTGCTCCAGAAGCACCTGGACTGAATGGCAGCTAGGGGAACTCCCAACCAGCCCTGAAGTTAGTTCATCCCTAGTTCTCAGGGCCAGTCAGCAGAGAAGCACACACTGCAGATCCAGGGAGGGTAGCCTTCAAAGGAGTCTATGTCCAGTTCCAGTCCTATTGCCCTGGGCAGCCCCTCCTGCTATACATCTCAACTGACTGTTCTCTGCTATCCACAGATCAATCACTTCCCCCTTGGCCCACCCAGCACTGTCATGGAATTGGCTGGGGTGGCTGAAAGTCTAGCCCAGTGAGAAACACCAAATGCTACACCCCAGCCTTTCTAGGACAAGTTCCTTCAGTCACTCCATGGTTAAGATCTGACCTTTTAAGTCAGATCTGAAAGAAACTGGAAGGGTCCCTCTGGACTGGTCAGGGAGGATGCCTGGATCTAGAAGCCTAGCCTGCCCTTATCTCTGCTACCCATTCCTCACATGTCCTGAGTTGACTCTTTCACATGGGAGGCACTTGGGCCTTGCATGGACCTTCCTCCCATGGCCTAGGAAGCAGTCCTGGGTGTAAGAGGCTGGAGCCCTGTGCCAAGAACCAGGACTTGGGTTCAAATCCCAGCTCTATCATTTATTAGCTGTGTGACCTTAGCAACTGTCTTTACCTCTCTGAGCCTGAAAAAATTGGTGTGAGTAGAAAGTGCCCAATAAATGTTTGTGAGCTCTAGATATAACAATTTGCCATGAATTTTCTTTAAACCAAGATTCCATGACTTTCAAAAGTTTGGGAATCCCTGGTGTAATGCCACAGTTTCTTTTTATAGGTTTTTGGCCTCCTTGCTGTTCAAAACATGATTCGCAGAAAGGAAATGTGAAAAGAGAAATAGCCCAGAGGAAAAAAAAAATCTGCAGCATTAGGGCAAACTGCGGGGTGACAGCTTTGAAATGAAGCCACAGGGCTGTTAATTGCATTCACTTTGCCCCGGGGCCTGTGCTCCCCTCTCTTCTCTGGTTTGGGATCAATGTGAGGGATGGCGAATGGGATTAAAGAAGGCAGACTTTGATTAGGCCATCAGACAGGTAAAAAGGTATTGAGCTGACTCCCAGTTACTTGTCACTAGATACAATTAACTGGTGCAATTCTGTATGTGTGTGTGCATGTGTGTGTGTGTATGTGTGTGTTCTTTGCCTCTATCTCTGTCTCTCTCCTCTCTCCCTCTTTCCTTTGCCCCCAACTTTATCCCATTTGATAAAGCATGTGCACTCACACAAAAGACTTACTAGGGACTTCCTCTCAGGATCCAATGTTCAATGCGTAACCAAATTTCCATAGTGGTGAACTCTGGGGGCTCTGTTCATTTCACACATGTTTACTAAAAATCTACTCTATGCTGAGCAAATCTTACAGATGATAGAGATAGAGCAGGGAACAAAACAGATGGTGCTGCTGTCCTTATGGTGCTTCTGTACCCTAAGACCCAAACAGGCAATTGACAAAGGGTAAACATCTCACATGAAGTAGTCATGAACACTCTGAAGAAAGTAATTAGGGCAAGAAGATGGAGAGTGAATGGGAAACTATTCCAGATAAGGTGGTCATGGAAGCCCACAGTGTACTCAGTCAGTGAGCATTTCCCAAGCACCTACAGCATGTCCAGCTCTGGATGGGAGCTCTGGGGAACTCCAGAGAAGAGACACGAGCCCTACTCTACAGCTTTGTTGGGGAAGCAAAGCTTGTGTACCCAAGAGTGAGAGAAGTCTGAGACAGGACACCTGGTCAGATTGTGTGGATTAAATGTAAGACTAGATACAGGAGAGGAAAGCATTTGTAGGCTGGAAAATTGGAGGAAAGAGGGTAACACTGATGGAACAGAACAGCTGGAAAAAGGGAGCCCTTTTTCTCCTGCACAGAGGGTAAAGGAGAACTCAGATTTAAATGTGTTGAGCCAGAAGTGAAGGAGGTTAGCAATTGCTGACATAGCCCTAGCTATGGATGAACAGCTGCTATTCTGGCACAGACTGGGGGATTTACAAGCATCTTATTATGTTAGGTTTGCTCAAGCCTGTGAGAAAATTGGGACTAAATTAAGCAATAATTATTGGCAAACAATCTAAATTAATGAATGATGCATGTAAGTGTGCCTGAGGGTTGCATTTCTTTAAATCTTGTTCTAAATGGTGACTTTGATGCAGGGCAAGCCTTGCATCAGGCACTTCACATACATGATCTCTTTTAATCCCTGTAGCAACAGCTGAAGGAGTACTATTATTAACCTTATTTTGTAGATAAAGAATTTGAGGCTTGGAGAGACAACATAACTTGCCCATGTTTCTTTTCTTAATTAAATAAGAACCCATTGAATACTTACAAACACAGTTAGTAAAACACAGGACCAGGATTCAGACCTAGGTCTGTCTGATTGTAAAAACCTTGTTTTGATCCATTGCACTAAACCTGTTTTCACAAATAAGCTTCATTTTAAAAAATACAGTTAACACTTATGCTGAGCTAAACTCACAGAATTCTACTTTGTTTTGTAATAAGCAAGAATTACAGAAGAATGTCTTATAACTCAGTGTCAATGTGGCAGGGTCGTCTATTGCCCCCATTAGCAGGCCTGGTGCTGGAAAAGAAACTGCAGCTTCTGGACTGTTTACTTTTAAGATGCAAAGCTGCAGAGTGATGGCAGATATACCTCTGCTTTGCTTGAGATAGGTACCATTCCTCATGGGGTTTGTGACAAAGTGGCTTGCTCAGGAAAGAGGGCTACAGAGGCTGGCCAAGCTGAAATTTGGGTAAAGACAATGAAATGAAGCCGGATCACAGAATCTCCTACCCTAATACCTAATGAAACAAATTAAATAGTAAAAACAAAAGGGAAAAATCTATTTAAAAGGTAAAAATTGATGAGCAGAAACCTACAAAGAAATAGAAAAACCACACGTCATGAAATCACTTTTACCTGCCCATGCCTCTGTAGGTAGACCCACCAAGCCCAGTGCCACTGTAGATCTTAAAACAGTCTTGTAACTTGGCTCCACTTCCTCTCCACTGATGTCTTAAAGCACTGTCTTGCCAGCCCAAGGATCCAGAGGGAGACCTGCTTGTCTGTACCACCAGAGACAAGGCTGCAGAACTTAATCTCAGCTGTGGACTCTTAAGCATCTTTATGACTCAGTTCCAGCCCCTCTCAGCCATGGCCTGAGGCCAGTACTGCCTGCCCAGGGACCTAATCACTGACCCAGTGGAAGGCTTCCAAGGAACTTGGAGGAAGCCACACCTATCCACATACTTAGTACCAGACCCACTGTCTGTGGACCCTGAATCAGACTCCCATCCCAGCACCAGCCCCTACTTACCAAGGTCCTAAAGGCAATCCAGGCCACCCAGGGACCAGACAGGATTTACAATCCTTCAAACCCCTGGTAACAGGCTGCTGACTTTTTGCCAGCACCAAAGCCCACTAGCCGCAGACCCCACTGCAGATGCAACAGTATCCACATAATCCAGGTGAAATCCCACTTGGCTACAACCCCAGAAGCAGTCCCATGAGGTCAGGGACCCAGGGGGAGGTCTTCATCTGCCAAAACCAGTCTATAAAGACTAAAGAGGTGTTTCCTCTTTCAAATTCACAAGGCTACGCAGATGACAAAGAATCAAGCAAGTATGACACCACCAAAAAAACTAATAAAGCTTCAGTAATTGGCCCCAAAGAAATGGAGATCTATAAATTTCCTGAAAAATAATTCAAAATAAACATCTTATAGAAGCTCAGTGAGAGGCAAGACAATACGGACAACTAAATGAAATAAGAAAAAAATGCATAAACAAAATGAGTTTAATAAAGAAACAGGAACCATTAAAACGAACCAAACAGAAATACTGGAGCTAAAGAAAAAATGAAAGAACTAAAAAATACAAGAGAGTTTCAACAGCAGATTCAATCATGCAGAAGAAATAATCAGTGAAGTCAAAGACAGGTCATTTGAAAATAGCCAACCAGAGGAACAGAAAGAAAAATGAATGAAAAAAAAGTGAAGCATAAGACACCTATGGGACACCATCAAGAGGATAAATATACAAATTATGGGAGTCTCAGAAGGAGAAAAGAGAGGAAAGAGACAGAAAACTTATTTAAAGAAATACTGGCTTTAAAAGAAAAAAAATCCCAAATCTTGGGACAGACATCCAGATGCATGAAGCTCAAAGGATCCCACGAAAAATTAACCCAAAGAAGAATATTCCAAGGCACATTCTAATCAAATTGTCAAAAGACAAAGACAAAGAGAACCCTGAAAGCAGCATAAAAAAAGAGACTTATCAATTACAAGGGAACCCACATAAGGCTATCAGTGGACTTCTCAGCAGAAAACTTGGAAGCTAGTTTGGGAATTAGATGATATTTTTAAAGTACTGAAAGAAAAAACCTGCCAACCAAGGACACTGTATTCAGCAAAGCTTTCATTTCTGAAGAATAGAGTCCTTCTATCCTTTCAATTTTCATATCTGAAGGATAAAAGCCCTCAGCTTTTATTTGTCTAAGACAATTTGGTTTGTCCCAGACAAATAAAAGCTGAAGGATTTTATCTCCATGAGATCTGCCTTAAAGAAATACTATAGAAAATTCTTTTGGTTGAAAAAAAGTGATGCTAAGTAACAACATAAAAACATATGAAAGTGTAATACTTACTGGCAAAAATAAATATATAGTCAAATTCAGAATACTCTAATATTATAATGATGACATATAAATCACTTTTAACCCTATTGTAAAAGTTAAAAAGAGTATTTTAAAAACCATAGATTTAGTAATTTGCTAATGGATACACAATATGAAAAAAGTAAAGTATGGCATTCATATCATAAAACAAGGGGGAGCAGTGAAGAGGTAAAATGTAGTGTTCATATGCAATTAAAATTAAGTTGTTATCAGATTAAAATAGATATTATAACTATATGATGTTTTCGGTAAGCTTCATGGAAACCACAATGAGAAGACCTGTAGTAGATACACAAAAAATAAAGAGAAAAGAATCAAAGCATATGGATACAAAAAGTCAACAAATCACGAAGGAAGACAGCAAGGGAGAAAGAAGCAAAAGAACTACAGAACAGTCCAAACACAATAAACAGAATGGCAATAGTAAGTCTTTCCACATCAATAATTACTTTAAATGTAAATGAATTAAATTCTCTAATCAAAATACATAGTATAGCTGAATGAATTTTAAAAACAACAATTAATATCCAACAACATGCTGGCTACAAGAGGCTCATTTTAGCTTTGAGGTCACATAGAGCCTGAAAGTGAAGGGATGGAAAAGATATTCCATGCAAATGATAACCAAAAGAAAGCAGAAGTGCCTCTACTAATATAAGGCAAAGTAGACTTTCAGTCAAAACTTGTCACAAGTGACAAAGGTCACTATATAATGATAAAGCTGTCGATTCATCAAGAGGATACAGTAATTGTAAATATTTGTGCACTCCACATTGGAGCATCTAAATATATAAAGCAAATATTAATAGAATTGAAGGGAGAGATGAACGATATAGAAATACTAAGGGATTTCAATACCTCACTTTCAACAATAAATAGATCCTCCAGACAGAAAATCAATAAGAAAACAGTGGCCTTGAATAACACTGTAGACTGAATGGACCTAACAGACATTTATAGAGCATTCCACTCAACAACAGTGGGATATATTTTCTTCTCAAGCACACATGGAACATTCTCCAGGATAGATCATATGCTGGGCCACAAAATTAAACACACTCCTGAACAACCAATAAATCAAAGAAGAAATACAAAAGGAACTCAAAAAGTATCTTGAGACAAATAAAAATGGAAACACAACATACCAAAACTTATGGGATGCAGCAAATACATTTTTTATGAAGGAAGTTTAGAGTAGTAAATGCCAATTTTTTAAAAAAATCTGAAGTAAACACCCTAACTTTACACCTCAAGGAACCAGAAAAAGAAGAAAAACTAAAACCCAAAGTCAACAGCAGGAAGGAAATAAAGATTAGAGATGAAATAGAGACTATAAAGACAATAGGAAAGATCAATAAAACTAAGAGATGTTTTCTGGGAAAAAATAAAGTTGAAAACATATAGCTAGACTAACCTAGAAAAAGGAGAGAGGAGTCAAATAAATAAAGTTTTAAATGAAAAAGGAGATATTACAACAGATGCCACAAAAATGCAAAGATGCTAAGAGACTACTATGAACAATTATGTGCCAACAAATTTGATAACCTAAAAGAAATTGATAAATTTCTTGAAACATGCAACCTACCAAGACTGAATCATGAAGAAATAGAAAAGCTGAACAAATTAACAACATGTAAGATTGAATCAGTAATACAAAACTTCTCAACAAAGAAAATTCCAGGACCATATGGCTTTACAGGCAAATTCTATCAAGCATTTAAAAAAGAATTAATGCCAACCTTTCTCAAACTCTTCCAAAAAATTGAAAATAAAGGAACACTTCCAAATCTGTTTTATGAGGCCATCATTACCGTCATACCAAAGCCAGCTAAGAACACAACAAGAAAAGAAAATTATAGGCCAATATCCCTGATGAATATAGATATAAAAATCCTTAACAAAATACTAACAAACAGAATTCAACAACACATTAAAAAGAGCATTCACCATGATTAAGTGGGATTTATCTGTGGGATACAAGTATGGTTCAATATACACAAATCAATAAATGTGACACACCACATTGACAAAAATAATATGAACATCTCAATGAATGCATAAAAAGTGTTCAACAAGGCCAGGAGTGGTGGCTCACACCTGTAACCCCAGCACTTTGGGAGACCGAGGCAGGTGGGTCACCTGAGGTCAGGAGTTCAAGACCAGCCTGGCCAACGTGATGAAACCCCATCTCTACTAACAATACGAAAATTTTCTGGGTGTCATGGCACACGCCTGTAATCCCAGCTACTCAGGAGGCTGAGATGGGAGAATCTCTTGAACCCAGGAGGTGGAGGTTGTAGGGAGCCGAGATCACGCCATCGAACTCCAGCCTGGGTGACAAGAGAGAAACTCCGCCAAAAAAAAAAAAAAAAGTGTTCAACAACATTTAACATTCTTTCATGATAAAAAAAAAAACCTCTCAATAAATTAGATTTAGAAAGAATGTACCTCAACATAATAAAGGCCATATATGACAAGCCAACCTAATATCACATTCAAGGGTGAAAAGCTGAAAGCTTTTCCTCTAAGAACAAGGACAATACAAGGATGCCCACTCTTGCCACTTCTATTCTACGTAGTACTGAAAGTCCTAGCCAGAGAAATTACTCAATAAAAAAGTAATAAAAGGCATCCAAATTGGAATGGAAAAAGTTAAATTGTCTGTTCCAGATGGCATGATTCCAGATGGCATGATCTTATATATAGAAAACCCTAAAGGCTCCACCCCAAAACTATTAGAATAAATGAATTTAGAAAACTTATAGAATACAAAATCAAAATACAAAAATCAGTTGTATTTCTATATATCAACAATAAACAGTCTAATAAAGAAATTAAGAAAGCAATCTGATTTACAATGACATCACAAAGAATAAAATACTTAGAAATGAATTTAACCAAAGAATTAAAAGATCTCTACACAGAAAACTGTAATACATTGAAGAAAGAAATTGGAGAAGACATGAATACATGGAAAGATAGCCAGGTCCATGCATTTGAAAAATTAATATTGTGAAAATGTCCAAACTACCCAAGCAATCTACAGATTCAAAGAAATCCCTGCAAGAATCCCAATGTCATTTTTCACAGGAAGGGAAAAAAAGAATCTTAAAATTTGTTTGGAACCACAAAAGACCCCAAAGAGTCAAAGCAATCTTCAGGGGAAAAAAACAAAGCTGAAAGCATCACAGCCCCTGATTTCAAAATATACTACAAAGCTATAGTAATCAAAACAGCATGGTAGTGGCATAAAAACAGACACAGATGCCAATGGAACAGATTAGAGATCCCAGACATAACTTCATGCAGTTTTGGTCAATTGATCTTTGACAAAGTTTTCAAGAATGTAAAATAGAGAATAGACAGTTTCTTCAATAAATGGTGTTGTGAAATCCATATGCAAAAATATAAACTTAGATCCTCATCTCATACCACATATGAAAATCAACTTAAAATTCATTAAAGACTTAAATGTAAGACCTGAAACTGTAAAATTACTAGAAGAAAACAGGGGAAAACTCCATGATGCTGGTCTGGGAAATGATTTTTTTTGGATATGGCCCCAAAAGCACAGGCAGCAAAAGTAAAATAGATCAAAGAAATTGCATTGAACTTAAAAGCTTCTGCACAGCAAAGGAAACAATCAACAGAGTGAAGAGACAAGCTATGGAATAGGAGAAAACATTTGCAAACCATCTGATAAAGGGTTAATATCAAAACTATATAAGGAATTCAAACAACTCAATAGCAAGAAAACTAATAACTTGATTTAAAAATGGTTGGAGGACCTGAATAGACATTTCTCAAAAAGGGACATAAAAATGGTCAAGAGGTGTATGAAAAATACTCAATGTCACTAATCATCAGGAAAATGCAAATGACAACTGTGATGAGATATCATCTCACACCTGTTAGAACAGCTATTATCAAAAAGACAAATGATAACAGGTGCTAGTGACGATGTGGAGAAAAGGGAACCCTTGTACACTGTTGATGGGAATGTAAATTAGTACAGCCATTATTGAAAATAGTTTAGAGGTTTC
The DNA here is from genome assembly GCF_000001405.40 of Homo sapiens. Lineage (NCBI taxonomy): Eukaryota > Metazoa > Chordata > Mammalia > Primates > Hominidae > Homo > Homo sapiens. Next base: position 127,335,395 of record NC_000003.12, read on the forward strand.
TCAAAAAACTAAAAATAGAACTACCATTTGATCCAACAATCCCGTTTCTAGATATACACTCAAAGGAAATGAAATCAGTATGTTGAAGACATATCTATACTCATTCATTGTAGCACTGTTCACAATAGCCAAGATATGAAATCAACCTAAGTATCCATCAACAGATGAATGGATAAAGAAAATATGGAATATAGACACATGGGATACAATGCAGCCCTAAAAAAGAAGAAAATCCTGCCATTTGTGACAACATAGATGAACCTGGAGGACACTGTGCTAAGTGAAATAAGTCATTAACAAAAAAACAAATACTATATGACCTCATTTATGTGTGGAATCTAAGAAGTTGACCTTATAGAAGCAGAGAGAAAAACGGTGGTTGCTAGGGACTAGGGGATGAGGAGGATAGGGAGATATTGGTCAAAGGGACAGGATAAATAAGTTCCGGAGATCTATTGCACAGTATGCTATTCAAGGTGCATTTTTAGTTAATAATAATGTATGTATACTTGAAAATTACTGAAAGTAGATCCTGAATGTACTCACACCCCCCAAAAAATTGATAAGTATGTGAAGTCATCAATATGCTAATTGGCTCAATTTAATCATTTCAAAATGTATACTTATATCAAAACATCATATTGTACACCATATAGTCTCATGAAAAGAAACATTCAGGTCTCAGGCCATCCTGAGCTTGTCCCCTGCCATTCAAGTCTATGCTGTCCTGAGCCTCCTTGGCAGCCTCTGATCTAGATGTGGTCGGATGGAGGGACCTCGGGAGGTGTCTGGAGCAGGCCCTGCATAGCTGCACTGGATGAAGGTGAGTACAGTGTGGCGGGGCTGAGGGGCTTCCAAGCTTTGCTGCATGCAGGAGAAGCTGGAGCCCAGCAGTTGCTGGGTGGCACGCCCAGCTGAGGAGTGGCCCCCATCTCACATTTCATGGAGTTCCAGGAGAGGGAATAGGCCAAAGAAGCTTCCCACAGCCGCTTTCATGCCCTCAGCCTGCAGAAAGTAGGATAGAAGAAAACACCAAGCTTCTCAGAGGAGAATTGAAAAGAGGTGGGAAAGACAAGGAGAGTTGCAGACAGACAGGCTGGGTATTGGCTCGTTGCCCTCCGTCTGCATGTCAGTTGGGCTATATTTTTGACTGCAAGCAGCAGAAAACCCAATTTAATGTGGCTTAGCTAACAGACTTTATCATCCTGCTCAGTGAAAAGCCACAGGTCCCAGAGCCTTCCCCCTTTCTTTGTCTTTCTCAGCACGTTTCCTTCAGGCTGACGTTCCTCATGATCCCAAGATGGTTGCCAAAATTCCAGGCATTACAGAGGCAACCTCAGGTCTCCATGGCTGGAATCAGGTCACCTGCTTCTTCCTAAGCCCAATGACTAGAGAAATGAAATTACTATCATTGGCTTAGGCTAGTTAAGACCTACCCCTCCCCAGGGTTCCATGGAGGACAGTGGACACCCAGACAGGACTGGGGCTGTAGTGATACAGAAAATAATAGCAGTAACAGGCAGTGGTGGATATGGGTGAGTAACCAACAAGGTTCGCTCTACCCTGGTTAGATCAGCTGTCGCAGTACCTTTATCTAAGCACCCAAAAGAGTCCTGCTGAACCTGGGCATGAGGAAAGGCAGGCACAGCGGGGGGTAGTCGGGACAGATACTCTGTTTAGGAGTGTGACAGGCAGTTCTCCATAATTATCAAGATTCAGACTGAGGGGTGTGCTGGGAAAGAGCTGGCCAGTGCGCTGGGACCACAGCAAGCACCCTGGGGCTCAGAGAAGATGGACAAGTTCCCCCGAGTTGGGCCTGGGCTTACCCAACCCCAGCCCCTGGCAGGTGGATATCCTGTCAGTCAACTTTCTTATGGGTGCAGCTCAGCAATTCCAGAAACCACAGTCGTGTCTTGACCCTCCAGTAGAGGTGTGTCCACACCTAGGGATATGGTGGTAAAGGAAGGGGGCTGAGTTGAGAAGCCTTGACAAGAGGCCTCGGCGGGCCGTTGGTACCTCAGGTGTGGTCCCAGATGCCCACTTCCCTCCTGCCTGTGTGAGGTGTCAGCATGCTGGCCCACCATCACCCACACCCTCTTGATCCCACACAGCTGCCAAACACCTCAGCTACCCACTTCCCTCCCTTCCCTTATTTCAGACTTTCTCAAATTATGCTTTCTCAAATATTCATTATGTCTTAATTTATACTTAAATTTTCTTTGGTTTTTTGCATTTCTTTAATTTACATTTAGTGTATACCTAACAGGACACTTTATACCTCTTCACAAATGGAAGAGAGTCTCATTTTCCATAATGCGACTACAAGAAAGCACAATGAAGTCACAATAAAGTTGTTAAGCCCTAATTTGATACCGCAGCCTGGCAGGACTCTAAGCCCCAGGCCTACTTTCTCTTTGTTAGAGCAGAGAGATTAGCAAGTATTATAAAGGTGTTAAACATGCTAGCACCAAATCCAGACGTTCCCCTGGAAGTCATTAGGAGACGGGAAGGATAATTTGTAAGGAAGCAACTTCCGCCGCGGAGTCTGATGGTGGTGGGCTGGGCTCGGGCCCTTCAGTGCACCTGCTGAGCCTCCTCCCGTGGCGGGTGTCAAGGAGGGCATGTGTCCGCCAGGCGGGCGGCAGCTGCGGGGAGGCGCGTGGGGAAGGGGAGGTGACCGCCGGAGAGGAGCAGCCTGCAGCCCGCTGGAGGGGCCCCGGAGCCGCACCTGGGACGCCTGTCCCCGACCTCTCAGTGCCCGCGGATACGACGCTCTTGGGTGGAGTTGCGAGGCTGCGGCACAGCTGGCGCGCATGGCTCTCACCTGAGACTCCGGCGGGGCACGGGAGGCACGGACACGCACGTTCCAGAGGAGGCACAGAGGCGGAGCTCCGATTTGGGAGCGACTCCCCGGTCTGGGGCAGGCAGAGGTGTCCAGCTCGGTCCTGGGCGGCAGACGCTCCATGGGCCCGAGTCGCGCCCCGCCCTGAGGTCGAGGGCGGGAGGTGGGACCGCAGGTGAGGGGCCAGGGAAGGCAGGGGACGCCATGAGCGGGCGCGGAGCAGCCAGTGCCTTCCCTCGGCCTCAGGACTGTGCCCCACAGCAGCCACAGAGCAGGCAGGCAAGGAGAGGGCAGGGCCTCAGGCTTGGAGCACCCGCTCCCCGGGCAGGGCGCATGAGAGGCCCAGGCACAAAGGAGGCTACGCGTTCTCCATCCTCTGTCCACAGGCTGCCAGGCATGCGGGGGACCCTCTTCCCAGCTATCTTCTTCTGTGAACCAGTGTACATCTCCCTCTGATGTTATTTTTCACAAATAGTAGACAAACACAAGCTACACACACATACACACATATGCAGATACACACACTACACACATGTATGCACGCATATGCGCACACACACATAGGCACACATACACATACTACCCACACATGCCCACACACTACATGCACATAGGCGTGCACACACACGTATGCACACATACGCACATTACACAAACACTTATGCACACATACACATGCAACACACATATATACACACATACACTACACATGTATATACACATGCACACACTACACACATAGGCACACATGCACATGCTACAAACATACTTACACTACACATGTATACAGCATATATATACTACACACATATGCACGCATGCACACACATGCTACACACACAGACACATACACATGCTACATACCCATCTATACACACACATACACTACACTTATACACACTATACATAGACACACACCACACACTATACACACATGCACACATGCACACACTACATGCACATGCACACAGGCACACATACACATGCTACACACACATAGACAGACATACACGTGCTACACACATCTATACACACAGATGCACTACACACATACACACTACACATACATAGACACACACTACACACACTATACACACATACAGTCATATGCACACGTACACTACACATACATAGGCAGACATACACTACACACTACACACACAGGCAAACATACACACACTACACCCATATGCACACATATATACACACTACACACATGCACACACATGCTACACATATACATATATATGCACACATACACATATGCACACATACACAAATACACACATAGGCACACATACACACACATCCTCAGTCTCAATGTAAAGTTCTTATTTCTATGGGTCACAAAGAGGTAGAAAAACATTGCTCTAAGCAATGCTCACATGTTCACATGTGAAATGCTAAAAAGAGCATGGATTTTGGAGTCAAACAGACTTGAATTCTAGGCTGGCCCTGACACCTACCAGCTCTAGCATCTAAAAGGGCAGGGGATCTCTCCTCTCTCACCTCATCTGTGATATGGGGTAGAAATCCACCCTCCCTCAACTCCAGTTAATGTAAAGTGACAATGAAATGGCAGATCAGCCAAAGTGATTTCTAAACAGTTAAGTCCTGTGCAAACGCATATTAAGATTGTTAATATTAGGCCCCAGCCAAGAACCCGTCTTAAGCCATGGTCCAGAAAATCAAATCTTGTTCTTCAATTGCATCTACTTAGCCAGCTGTTCAGTTCCCATATGCTCCTTTCTCTTCCAAAGCCTTAGCCGCCAATTGGAATGCAAGATAAAAAACACCATCTGTGCCCCCAGTCCTTCAGTTCCCTGCCCAGGACGTCTCGAGGCCGGGAGATGATTTCCCAGTTTCTTCTGGCACTGCCGTTCCCCCCTGGCTGGCTGCACTGGAGCAGGGCTGAGAGCCCGGGCAGCCTCTCCACCTCGATGTGGACGGCTCTCCACTGCCCACCAGAGGCCCCCATGACTCCCAGACCCAGCCCCGGTGTGGCTGGCCACAGGGCTGCTGCATATTGACCCTTCGGCTCTGGGGCTCTTTTGCAGTGTCCACCACATCAGTCCAACCCCAGCCTGGATCGACATGTGCCTCTCACACCGGAGACTACATTGAGGGAGCAACCCACAGGAGGGAGAGCAGCAATGGCCTCTGCTGGAGGTCTTCCCAGGAGCCTCTAGTCACAGGGTGCAAGATGTGATAGATTGACGCAAACATGGTCCCAATTCTGCATCCCTCCCTGTGTCTGTGCCCTTGCAATATGGCTGCATACTTCTTCCCATCGAGATGTGAGGTCCATTCTCCTGCCCCTTCAGTCTGGGCTGGCCTGTGACTTGCCTTATCAGTAGAACGGGGTGGAAGTGAAAGTGACACTGTGCAGTTCATCTGCAATGTAAACAAGCTCGGGTGAACCTGCTGGGGAACCCAGAAGAAAGCTTGTAGGCCATCCTAGACCAGCCTCCACCCAGCAAACCCTCAAACGAGTGACAGACTCCAGCCTATATCAACAGAGCTGCCTTGCCGACCCTCACTGGCCCCGGATGCATGAGCGAGCCCACCTAAGATTATCAGAATTGCCCAGCCAAACTGTAGACTTATAAGAAATAATGTTTATGTTTTCAAGCCACTAGGTTATAGGGTAATTGTTACACAGCAACAGCTAAGTGATACATAAGAGCATGCCCCCTTCCGTTAGGGGCACCAGGTGGGAAGGTATGGACTCTGTTAGGTTATTCTAATGATATCCTCCCACCCCAATCGGCCTTTGTTCAGAGCCTAAGAACCCTGGGGGTGAGGTGAGAATCTGGCCCCCTATCCTGAAGCCATGTGGCAGGAAATGAAGGGGAAAGTGTACATAGCATCACAGCAAGTAGGTTGACACTAATCACTAGACATCCCTGTCCCTGCTCAAAATTCCCCAGCCCCTCTCACCCAACCCAGCTTCTCCTATCCTAGGTCCCCTACCACTCACTGTTCCCCAGTCTGCTAGAGAAGTCTCAGCAAGCTTCTTGCTGAATTATGTTGAGCGATTTCTCTCTCCCTCTCCAAGCCAACCAGGTCAAGCTCTGGGTGTGCTTTTGCACAGAGTCTTGCCTTGGTGTCCCGCTAGCCGAGTGGTTCCCAAAGGATGGTGCAGTTACCACTGGGGATGCATGCAATGATTGTAGGTGGTACAAGGTCAAACATTTTAAATGCTAATTGTTCCACTTCGATTGCAACATTATTCCAGCATAGTCATCCCTTGGTACGTGTGGCGATTGGCCCCTGAGGAGACCAAAATCCGTGGATGCTCAAGTCCCTGATATGAAATAGTGTTGTATTTATATACATACATACATCCTCTTCACATACCTACATACATCCTCTCTTATACTTTAAATCATCTCTGGATTACTTATAATGCCTAATATAAGGTAATGTGATTTAAATAGTCATCATGCTGTATTGTTTTATTTGTATTACTTTTTATTGTTATATGTTATTTTTATTGGATTTTTTTTAAAAAAATCTTTGATCTGCAGTTGGTTGAATCCATGATGCAGAACCCTTGGACATGGTGTGCCAACTGCATGCTTATCCCTTACCCTTCAAGCTGCCATAACAAAATACCATAGACTGGGGAGCTTATAAACAACAGAAATTTATCTCACACCTGGCAAGTTCAAGGTCAAGGTGCTGGCAGATTCAGTGTC